>NC_000012.12:28153515-28306211 GCF_000001405.40 Homo sapiens
CATGATGTTTTAAAAAACAACTTAGATTTGAATGCCTGTCTATGAAACATGCCTTATCCAGTTTAGCCATCCTTGGTACCACTACGTAGTGTTTTATTCCATCATTTACTCTATCGTGAGTATATTGTTTGCCTGTCAACTGAGTACATTTAAATTTGTAGCTCCTAGATGTAAGTTGTCATAAAGTAGTGGGCAATCATTCATTCTTGGGAGACGAGTATGTGCAAAGGCAAAGAGATGTGAGCCATAAATGTGTGTGTGTGAAATAGGGATGTAATAGAAATTGTCCTATATGAAGCTTAGAGACTGTTGGTGGAATTACAATAGATGAAAAATGGTTAGTTCCAGAAGGACCAAGTGATTGAGACCTGTAATTACTAGTCCAGAGAATTTAAATTTTCCCCATTAAGCAGTTGTCTACTACTTTAAGTTCTTGGGTTCAAGAGTTATTTGAGTTACTTAAAAAAAGATATTTGACTGCTATATAATGGTTAAACTTGATTGAAGAGAAAGATATGACCTTGAAAGCTTTGCAGTACTCTAGGTAGGAGATAATAGTTTGGATAAAGGGGGTAGTTCTGGAGGTGAAAAAAAACAGAAAAGAGAGTGTCCTAACAAGTAAGAGAAAAAGTGTTAGACAAGAACTATACAGAAATAAGTTATGAAACTACCGTTTCCACAGAGAGTAAGAAAATTGGTGAGAAATGGCAGGATCTAATGTGCTGTTACAAAGGTGGCAAAATAAATAAAAGCTGTTTTTCATATTAGCACACAGCAGCTCACAATCCTGTTCATGGGTTTATTGCCTTCCAGCAGTTACTCACGGCTCTAGCTGCTTGACTGTGCCTCTTGTCAAGAAAGAAATAGCAGCCATATGGGGTCTTCTGTATTTTATTCATTAAAGCTTCTTTTATTTGTTGTTTTAATGTATTTAATTCACTAAATTATTACAGATGTTTTATATTACAATGCTAATAAGAAAAATACGAAAAGATGCCCAACTTCTTTTAAGCCTGGTAGAAGTGGAAACATTTTTCCTTCTGCCTGTTCAAGTTTCAGTTGATCCTTTCTGAAAATGCTGACTTAAAATGGATGGTCTCTAACAATTTTAAGTAGTGAGAAAGGGGAACAAATTATAATTGACATTTTGAAGAAATCATTATACATTCTGCTTTGAGAAAGTTCAAGACATTGAGAATTTGGAAGCCTCATGAAGAGCCCACAAAGTGCATTATTTTTTCCCTAGTATCTTCAATACTATTTGAGTACATTAAATATATAGAAATGCTTATAGTATGTTAGCATTTTTTGGTTGTATTTGTTGAAGTGTGTGAAAATCTAAGAACCAGCTTTTGTGGATGGGTTTTGTGGGAAGTACACTTCATGTTGAACAAAGGGAGATAGTCTTCCCAAGCAAGCACTGCATTTATGTGTGATTCATATATGTGGATTAGACCACTTAGGAATAAACACAACAAAGAAAAGAAACTTCCCTCTGGGCTTCATGATTTATATGAATTAAATTTGTCACTGTTAAGGTAGATCCAGAAGGCTCACTTAAGATTGTATTCTCCAAACCCTGGGCTGCATTAAAGCTTATGATATAGCCACAGGTAACTATGTTAGATTTTTCTTTGAACTTGTCTGCTAATTGGAGCCCTGTCACTGCAGAAAGCAGTTTAAATTTAATTAAGGAACAGGAAACTCCCAAGTCTAATTTTGTCCCTGAGTTGCTGTATGGGTTGTCTCTCAGGACTTTAACAGCTGTTGAGTGAAGGTTTGTGAGTGTATACTAAAGCATAACCCAGTGAAACATCACAATCACAATCTAGCATTGTGGCTTCTTTCTACATAGGATAACTCTCCCAATTCCATACACATTGCATTAAACCATTAGACTCCTGCTTACTTTGATGCTGTTTTTAAGGGTACCTTCAAATAAGGGCCAAATTTAATAATAATATAAATTACAAGTTAAACAAATAACTCAATTTTCCTTTCTTCTAGTCTAGATGTAATTTTCCTAATTGTTTTTGGTGCTAAATCCTCCCAAAATAATCAGGTCATCTGAATCTACAGAGAAAAACTGAAATGCAATTAAATTAGAAAATGCATATAAAAAATCTTTGCAAAGAATTAGGAAATTTTAAAATATTATCAAAATACAATTTCAACAAAAACCAACTTCCCAAGACACGTTTATAAATTTCTCTAAGATTGATGTCAAGGGGATAGCAGAACTCTCCTTCCTCCATTAGCTCCTTGGAGCAGGCACAGTATGCATTCATTTTGAACAGTTTGCCTGTGGAGGCAAGAGCTTCACAAGGTACTGACATGGGAGACTTGCGCTAACATTAAATAAAATTTACAGGGGCCATTGGTTTGGGCTGAGCTCCTGCATTAGGCCCAACAAACCAAAGTAAACTGGAGTTACTGATGCTGAAGTTCCACACCATCAAGCCAAAACTAAGCTGTTTATCTGATCTTCTGAAAAACCAGGAGAGAGAGAGATTTAATAGCAAAATCCCCAAAAGAGGCCCATTTTAGCTGGCATGATAAGGAAGTCCCCACTGCTTTAAGCTTTACAAGGAAAGTAGCTGAAACGATCAATCCCTTTTTGCTCTGTTTCTGCTTTCTTCAGCTATTTTCTGCCCATAAAGCCAAACTCTCCTGCTCAGCTCGTTGGAACACTCATTCCATTTTATAGAATGAAGTGTTGCCTGATTCTAGAATTGCGAATTAAAGCAAATTTGAACTATGTTTGTTATAATTTTGTCTTTTGACACTAACCATGGATGTTCAACTTTTTTTGGTGGAAATTATATTTGCATATAGAAGAGACATAAAATATAATTAGTAAGCATTCTCAAATTGCCAACAATACTAACACTTTTAAAAAACTAGCAGTTTTATCTCAAATGAATAAAACGTTGGGATAATTCTGTGAAATCTTTCACTCCTCTTCCAAGTATGTTGCTTTGAATAAATACAGCTTAAGAATCTCCCTAACATATTGTTACCATGTTACTATGTGCTGTAAATGCAATAGTCTTAAAGACCAAATTCTAACCACAACCATGTATTTCCTTTGTTTTATATATTTAGGTCAGGCACTTAACATGGCTTTAACATAGTTCCTTTGTGGTTTAATTTCCTTTGTGATTATTTATTTTATGTAATGGGAGTGTAAAAATGTCCCAAGGACTGAAAACAAATTGCAGCTCCTTTTTAACATAGGCACTAAGAAGTACTCTGTTACTTTGCCTTTGGGTGAATATTAAACTTTCAGGATCATTTTGGGTAAAAAATGCAACAGTGAGACATTTACATTTTCTTAATAAAACAAACACGGGAGACTACATTCACGGGCATTCTTTCACACTCTCTTGGGCCCAAGTCTTATAACAAACAAGGAATGAGAAAATATGGACTCCTCAGTGTGCAATGCCACTCAGCAGCTCATAACGGCTCCCTGGAGATATGGAAGGATTCCTGGAAGTATGAAGAAGGAAAGGTGAACTAAATCATCAGGGCAGGACCCCAGGGTCGCTCTGAGCTTCCTAACCGTGCAAAGGGAGATACGCATCCAGCTTGTAAGTGCTAAAGCTGCAAAGAGGTTTTTCACTCCAAATTTACCATCGAGCCTACTAATGTGTGTTTGCTTTGGGCACTTCAGCTTATACCTTGATAGCGAACAGGTCTGTTTTAATGGTACGTGTAATTTTCAATTCTCATTAAAGGTGTTGTTTCTCAAGACGGGAGTTTTTGTGGGTTTTTTTGTTTTGTTTTAATATTCACTTACCTGTTCATTTAGTAAGTAACAGAAATATATTCTCTTATGCTTTGGACTTTATGAACATAATGTATTCATCAAATTTTAAAATGCATCTCTACTAGAATATCCTTTTATTTTACCTGGGACTTAACAAAACTTTAACACCTGGATAAATTTAGAGTTCTTTTGAACTAAATGAAATCACTCAATATCTAACAGTTACTTTACAGCTGTTAATAGTTTTAACAACTTTTTTCAGTTGCCCAGAGGAGGAAAATGTGGTCCATTTCACCTCCTTATATAAAATAAAATGAATTTCAGTGGGAACAATAGTTTAAAAAAGGGAAGGCCGGTTTATTTTCATAGGACGAGCATTTCAGTTAATTAAAAAACTAAGAATCATGCTTAAATTAAATCATTTTCCTTAAATTAAAAATAAGAATACTCTAAGAAATAGATAAAAAATGAATAATGATTTTCTTCCAATTCATATTTTCATTATGGGTAGAGAATATATTTTGAAATGACATGGAGAAGTGTTTTCCTAAAAACATTTATTATCTGAATCACGAAGTGCAGTTTTCCTAAAATGTAATAAAAGTCAACATTATGTTAAATTAATGGTAAAGAGAAACACATTTTTAAATAAATTTTTTTTTATTAAAACACATTTTAAATAAATAAATAAATAAATAAATAAAAAGAAAACACAATTTTAAATAGTCTTTGTCTTTTTTTAAGAGGATGTATAGTCAAGAAAATAAAGACATAATTATAATAAATATTATTCTGAAAATTTACAAAATTATTAAACAAAATCAGATACTTTAAAAGCTGGTTTAAAAAATTTAATATTATTAAAACTTTCATAAGTTCTTTTCTTCACCCAAGAAAGTTATGATCACAATACTGCCTAATTTGTGAGGACGTGTTTTACTACATAAACAAATAATTGCATACAAGCATGATTCTGCAGTTCAGTTCACAATGTTTAAGACCAACCATGCTGATTTAAATAAAAATATTTCCCTAATGAACCCTTATTAACTTTCTTTTTTCATAAAACATGTGTTTCCACTACTTCCAAAGGTCTGGTAATCGTTCATGCAAATGAAAAAAAAAAATATGTTTTCCATACATGCATAAGTTGTTCCACAAACATCTGGTAACGAAACTTTGAAAGCTGCTAGATTCTGAGCCAGCCCAGGTGTTCACTACAACATCTCTAGAACTAAGAAATTGCTCGCAGTAATTTGTTGCAACTCGTATTGGCATTTTTACGGTTATGATGAGGCAAAGGGTGATGACATCATGTACTAATGTTATGAAGGTGCTGTGAATTCAGTGTGAAAATTCCATCAATGAGTGATTGTTACTGAAATTGACTACATTGGTGGCCATCACATGTTGCCAAATGAAACATCTGGGCACAAAGTTAGCAGTGGCACACCTTGTAAATAACTTAATTGAAATTAATTGCCAGAAGTTTGCAGCACTGTACATAGTTAATAAGTACCATTTCTCATTCTTCTGCAATGTTTTGGGCTTAAGAATCTTGTATTTTTGAATTCTGTTGTAGTAGCTTGCGATGAAAGTAAAACATGTAGAAAATGTATGATGAAACAAGAAGACCATAAGGAAATAAAAAACATTATGTAAGGAAGAAAACATTCAATCTTCTATACCTTCTTTCATTAATAAAATTTTTTTCACAAAAATAATTTTTAAATTTATGTATAAAACCATTTTTCAAAAGAGGAATAATTTGAATAAAAGAGGAAAATGTTGAATAATTAGATATAGGTCTCCATTTGTCCAGAAACAAATGTCCAGTATTTTGCCCAAGTTGTAAATGTCAAGTGCTTGTTGTGTTGATAAAAACATTTGAAATTATTATATATAATAAACCCACACATCTGAAGAGACCAAAAGGCTGTTCTATGGAAAAACCTGGAAACTAAGATTAAGAAACACAGGTCTTATTTTTGCTGTACAGATTCTTACACATTTAGCCTCTTCATACCTCATAAATGCAGAAAACAGGTAGCCAAAAATATAGACTGCAGCAAAGACGTTGCAGTCAACACAAATGAATTGTGGTGTCACTAATGTAGCATTGCTCAGCCTGAGAAGATGTTCAGTAAATATTAACATCAATTCCTTGTTCTTTCCTTCTTAGCTCCCCTTACCTTTCAATTTTTGCTTCTTAAAAAAAGTTTTGCGAATGTAAAGCTGTTTAAAGATACTGAATGTCGATATTTTAAAACCGGCTTGAAACAATGAAAACCCAATTAACAAACTGAAGTTTATATTTGCCTTGAAAGTACCACAACTTATATTGACATACTGTGACATAAACTTCCATAATGCCCTTAATATTTCTGAAACTTATATATAAGATATTTATTTTTTTAAATATTATTTTGTCCTGTATGGTCAACATGAAGATCCATATGATTAACCTGTTTTAGAGTTTAATACTAGGAAGAAGTTTTCCTAACTGGTATGATTCTTTTTATTATATTTTAAAAACCCGTGTAACTAAAAAACCCTGTATCTTTTGGCTTGACTATGAAGGTCAAAGCTAATTTTTTTTCCTTAAGTCAATAGCTATCCTGAGGCCAGGCCTTCTGGTACAACCAAATTGCCTTTTCTGCCCTTTCCCTTTTATATTTCTTGAATTTTGTGCTTTTACCTTTGCTTCAATCATTAGTTATATCTGTTCTCTATATAAATTAGCTGGGGTTTAAATAATACATACTCTAGAACACCTAGAACTGTCAGTTGGTATTCTCTCATATAAAATATTTATGATTCAAAAAGTCTATTCTTCCTAGAGCCGTAGAATATTTCATATCTGAATTTTTTGCTCTTTATAGCTCATTATAGAAAAAAATCACACTTTATAACAAGAATATTATATTTTGTTTTTGATAAGAGTCTCTTATGTTTACAAATATAGCTTTTCATATAATCACACAACCTAGGTTTTACAAAAAAAATTTAGTTTCTTTTTCTGAACAGAAAAAAATACCTTCTATCTCTTCATAGAAGTAATGGTGGTACTTTGTCATAATGGACGTATTGTTCAGGCAGAGTGAGTTAAATGCGCCATCCAAATGCAAGAAAGGATTTGATTTAATCTTTGCTTTTGTTAGGAACACGCATGGAGAGTATGGGCAGAGAAGCAGTTTTCACTTATGGTTTTAATCTTAAATGTTTGAATCCCTGTAAGTTTCCTTGAGGATAATATTTTAATGGTATCTGAGCAAATTAAATAGAATGGAGAATATGTGGAAGGAATGGCAATTAACAGAGTCATATGAAATCAATGACAGTTGATTTCTAATCGCATTTCCACTCGGCTAGTTTTCACTACAAATGAATTTATTTTATAACAAAAATATATAAATATTTTGGAGTTGCATACAGAGCTATATGATTTTAGGGTCTATCTCCATGGTTTAAGGAATAAAATAAGTTCTAGTTCTTAAGGATCTTGCTATTAATAACAACAACTGCATGTATTAAAGCTATACAAGAGTTTAGAGGAGAACAAATGAGTCAGGGATTTTGCTAATTAATTGTAGAATTGACAATTTAGGAAGGTTGTTAGGAGACAGTCCTGAACAGCAGTAGAAATAAAGAGCAGGATGTATAAAAATGCTGAAGGAAGGATCAAGCTAAAAAGTATTTCTCAGAGATAAATGAACAGTTCTAATTCTTGTTTTGGTGTAGCATTTTTCTTGCCAATATCTGCATACTCTAGGAGAAAGTAAATTCTTTAGCTAGTTTTTTTGAATCCAAAGCACTTGCAATGGCTTTGAGAAAGTCTTACTAAAAAAACTGGTATGTAGCGGCCAGGCGTGGTGGCTCACGCCTGTAATCCCAGCACTTTTGGGAGGCCGAGGCGGGCAGATCATGGGGTCAGGAGATCGAGACCATCCTGGTTAACACGGTGAAACCCCGTTTCTACTAAAACATACAAAAAATTAGCCGGGCGTGGTGGCGGGCGCCTGTAGTCCCAGCTACTCGGGGACTGAGGCAGGAGAATGGCGTGAACCCGGGAGGCGGAGCTTGCAGTGAGCGGAGATCGCGCCACTGCACTCCAACCTGGGCGACAGATGGAGACTCCGTCTCAAAAATAATAATAATAATAATTAAAAAAATAAAAAATAAAAACACTGGGAAATAGTAAGATTAATAGCATGGGAATGGATTATGAAGATCCATTCCTTCACTCAACTAATTTGGCAGCATCCATTATGCTTCAGGTCCTCTGCCAGGATCTAGGAATACAAGACCAATAATCCTACTACTGCCTCATCCTGTAATTAATATTCATAATAATGATCTTAACTTGTTGAAAAAATATTAAATTACATTAGGTAAGTTTTATTTCAAAAGACGGAGAAGTACAGAGACAACAAGTTGACTTACGGTGTTAAAAGTCAAGTTAATGGTTATGCTTGGTAGAAATGGGGGATGGGTAGTGAAAGGAGGGACCACAAAAGAGGCTTTTGAGAATCTGGCAGTGTGTTTCTTGACTGTGTGTGGGTTACAGGAGTGTACGTGAGTGTATTTGCTTTGTGAGCATTCGCTGACTTGCACATTTGGGATTTGCACACTTTTCTGAATTTTTACTTTAATAAAGATGTACATAAAGTTGAAAAAAAAGGCAAGGAAATATTTCATAGGTAATTGAAAGACATGTCTTCCTTTCCTTTTTCAGCCAAGCTTCGTCAGCTTTTTCTAACTCCTAAAGCCACTACAACATTCCAACAGATTCCATCTGACAGTCCAGTGATCCAGCTCTGAGATTGCTAATGACAGAATCACCATCTCCTATGGCCACTCTTCAATCCCCTCCTGTGATGGCTCTAGTCCCTTTGATGCTTTGGCTATTCTTTCCTTTTGAAACTTTCTCCTAATTTGGCTTTCGTGATGCCGCACTCTCAGAGCCTAATTCTAATTATTAAACTGTTGCTTCTCAGCCCCCATCGCTAGATTTTCTTCTAACCACTTCTTAAATATTGGTGTTCTGGGTTCCACCCTCAGCCTATTCTCCTCCCTTCTTTCTGGTTTTAACTACAGTCCATCGAAAATGCTCAAATCCGTATCTCCATCTCCAAACTTAAGATTCATTTTTATATTTTGAATTGTTTAGTTGGCATTTCCACCTACTTTCTTTTAAATAACTCAAACTCTGTAAGTTCCAACTGAAATTATTGTCCAAATGTCAGAATTCTGATTTTCATCAACTATTTCCTGTCTCAATTAGCAATCTATCCTTAGCCCAGTCATCCAAGGTAGATATTTGTGAAAAATTCTCTTTATGTCATTTTTCCCTCAATCCCCACATGAATAAACCACCATGTTTGTAATTAATACCAATTAAATAATTTTCAAATTTACCCTCTGTTCTCCATTTTGATGAAGTAGGTTTAGTTTGTACCCTCATTTTCTTTTTTTCTCCTAGAATATTTTTTATATCCCCATAAATAGGTCCTCTGTCTTAGATCTGGACATCCCTCTTGTCTGTTATTCACATTGCTGCTATAGTCATCACACTGCTGCTATAATCATCACACTGCTATCAATACTATATATAGCACAATCCAAAGAGCATTTCCTGGTTAGGATGGCAGCATGAACACAGCTGTCTAAAACCTCAATTAACATCTTCCTATTGAAATTCAAGAATGGTTTAACCCCAGAATTGGTACTAGAAACTATGGAAGGGTACCATTGACCTGTCACAACACTCAAGAGATTCCTAATAGTTTTAGGGCAAATGGAGCCACGTTGAGGAAAAAGTCAAGAGAACCTGCTCTTATGAAATAACAGAGGAGGCCAGGCACAGTGGCTCACGCCTGTAATCCCTGCACTTTGGGAGGCCGAGGCTGGTGGTTCACCTGAGGTCTGAAGTTCGAGACCAGCCTGGCCAACATGATGAAAACCCATCTCTACTAAAAATACAAAAAATTAGTCAGGCGTGGTGGTGGGCACCTGTAATCCCAGCTATTCAAGAGACTGAGGCAGAAGAATCACTTGAACCCAGGAGGCGGAGGTTGTAGTGAGCCGAGATTGCACCACTGCACTCCAGCCTGAGCAACAAGAAAGAAAGAAACTCTGTCTCCAAAAAAAAAAAAAAAAAAAAAAAGGAAAGGAAAGAAATAACAGGAAAGATCAGAGGCAAGTCTATAAACTGAGACAATGGAAAGTAATCTTTTAAAAAAGGACAACATTTAAAAGTGGTTGAATGAGAAAAGGGAAGATTTAATAAACTAAAAATGCAATGGGTTTTTTAAAAAGTCTTCATAAGAAAAGAAGCAACATTGCAGAAAATAAAATTAGTTTTCAGAAGAAAAAGGGTGGCGAGACAAAGGGATGAGAACAAAGATGATAGATCTATATTTTTGCCATCATAAGCAAGAATGTAAAGAGCATTCTTATATATAAATCTTTGCATGTTATCTGCTTATTTCTTTAAAAAAGTTTTAATTGTAGAAACACTTGGTTGTGCACTTAGAAAAAATCTGCAATGTGTTATCGAATTACCTTACAAAATGATTATATAGATTTATCTGTTACCAACAGTGTTTAAAAAATATGAAAGATGGCCAGGCACAGTGGCTCATGCCTGTAATCACAGCACTTTGGGAGGCCGAGGCAGGCAGATCACTTGAGGTCAGGAGTTCAAGACCAGCCTGGCCAACATGGTGAAACCTCGTCTCTGCTGACAGTATGAAAATTAGCTGGGTGTGGTGGCACGTACCTGTAATCCCAGCTACTTGGGAGGCTGAGGCAGGAGAATTGCTTGAACCCATGAGGCAGAGGTTGCAGTGAGCCGAGATCACACCACTGCACTCCAGATTGGGTAAGAGAGTGAGACTGTGCCTGAAAAAATAAAAATAAATAAATAAATAAATAAATATAATACAAAATATAAAACCAAATTCCCTCATATTCAATTTCATATGACTATTGTAAAATTTTAAATCCTTATGTTGCTATATTGTTTTAAATTCTATTAATGTTTATCTTCAATATTTGAAAATATACATCTCAAAATTTGTTGACAGTGGCATTAAGTTTGCATCAGGATTTCTGTTATTTAAATTGAACTCACTGTTGAACTACCTTTGGTACTCTTCCCAATTCCTTTTTTACTATCATTTCTCCTTTCTTTTATTGTTTATTTTGATGCATCTCTCATTGGGCTGGGACACCTCTTGATACATTTTTCATTAAGGATATTTGGGTTTTTATCCATAATATGTACACCCATATTCCTCTTCCTTGGTTCCCTTAACCCTCTAATTAACAATTGTATCTATAGCCCAATTTTCTTTAGGAATAATCACATTTTACATAAGGTATAACTACATTGATAACTCCTAGATGTTAAAATATTCAATGAACATGAGTTTAAGAAAAAAAATGAATATTTGGGTGGTATACTTTCTGAGCCATACATATAAGAGAATGTCTTTCTGTTGCCATCATATGCAAACAACAATCTAGCTGGGCATGACTTTTGTTCTTTTTTTATGGTCTCCTGACATTTGCAGAGCAGAAGTCAAGGGCTACCACTCCTCGTTAGAATTTGCCAATAAGAAGCAAGTGCTTCTTTCTGCAGCCAAATACTGCAGAAAGGTGCAATGGATCAGAGAATCCATGTTGACCAAATGTACCAGCACAAAAGTGGAATTGAATCTTCTCTAAAAGAGAGCAAGCGATTTTTTGACAAACTCCATAATGAAGTTAATAGTTAACTGGAGTGACTCATGCCTGCAGTCCTAGCTACTTGGGAAGCTAAGGTGGGTGGACTGTTTGAGCCCAGGAGTTTGAGGCTGCAGTGAGGTATGATTGCACCACTGCACTACTGCCTGGGCAACAGCAAGACCTTGCCTGTAAAATAAATACATAAATAAATTTTTAAAAGAAATTAGTAAGACTTTGGAAAAGATCAGCCACTGTGAAAAGTACATCAACCATCAGCTTGAGCACAGGGTTCAAGAATATCCTGCAGCTCAAACCCAGCTGAGTGATGTAAGGAGCCAGCAAGGAAGTGGTGGAGTAATTGAAAGGACCAGACTTCTGTCTGAGGCTACAGAAGACAGAACATGTAAAACTAGAAATGGAAGAAAAGTGCAGCAGCATGACTGATGGTGATTCTTTGGTTAAGAGGTGGTGATTCTTTGGTTAAGATTAAACAGAGCTTAACAAAACTGAAGCAAGAAACTGTTCAGATGGACATTAGAATTGGTGTTGTGGAACACACATTACTCTAATCAAAACTGGAGAAACCCAGTGTGACTAAGGACATACACGTGACCATTATTCCAGAATCAGCAATAGATTCATATTAAAACAGGGTTTTTTCATGCTTCTGATTAGTCGTTCTTTATTTCAAATTACATCTCATGTTGCATAGATTTAAAAACATAATTATACCTCTTAAGGCATGTTCAATGGGTATTTTTTATACATACACACATATTCTATCATGGTGATTATGGTGGTTAAAGCCTTTACATTGAATATAATGCTTAATAAAATAATTACATTTTTTTAAAAAAAGAAGGATTGAGGAGATTTATAGGGTAGATGGGCATGGTAGCTCACATCTGTAATCCCAACACTTGAGAGGCCAAGGTGAAAGGATCCCTTGAGTCCAGGAGTTTGAGACTAGCCTGAGCAACATAGCAAGACCTTGTCTCTGTAAATAAATAAATAGCTAGGCACTGTGGCGTGCACCTGTAGTGTGAGTGCTACACTACAGCTACTCGGGAGGCCAAGGCAGAAGGATCACTAGAGACTAGGAGTTCGAGACTACCCTGGGCAACATAGGGAGACCCTGTCTCTAAAAAAAAAAAAAAAATTCCATGCCTGGTGGTGTGTGCCTGCAGTCATAGCAACTCAGGAAGTTGAGGCAGGAGGATCACTTGAGCCCAGGAGTTTTAGATTACAGTGAGCTATATCACATCACTGCACTCCAGGCTGGGCAACAAAGTGAGACCTTGTCTCTAAAGATGTGAAAATAAAAATACAATTTAAAAATAAATAAATAAGTAAATAATTTCAAAAAGAGAGAGATTTATAGGACACAAGAGGAGAAACCACTTCTCTGGAGGCAGTTGGAAACTAACATGAGCAAATATGAGATTCACAGTGGCTGTCATGAGAGTCCTTGACAACTACCTGCCATGGTGTTTCAGGCTGAGCTCTTGAGTTTTGAACTTCCTGATCTTTGTTTTTTCAGGTCTTCCAACAGTTGAATAAGCTCATAATTATTATAATAAACTTTGTATCTTAATTACATGGAGTAACTTCTGTTTTCCTGGATGATTACTGATTGATATAATATAGAAAATGTATTTGATAAAATTCAATATCCGATCCTTAATCAAAAAATAAAACCCATAATAAACTAAAAATAGATATTTAAAAATATGATAATATATCATTAGGTTCTATCATGTTTAATGATAAAACATTACAGGCATTCCAGCAAAAGTCAGAAATAGTACATGATGCATGCTAATACCATTATTATTTGCTGACGTATTTCTGTAAACTTTAGTCCACGAACATCAGGGTGTAATTACAGGATAGGAGAACAAAATATTCATTATTGTCAGATGTGATTTTCTTTTACTCTATAAAACCCAAATGAATTAAAATCAGTAGAAACTTATGAATTTTTCTTCATGCCAACAAAAACAAAGTCCAGTTATGAAATGTGGCGGGGAAAATTTACAATAGTAATATATATGCACATACATATGTGTGTGCATACCTATTTATATCATGATCAAACTTAACAAATCCATAGAAAGTGCATGAAGTAATCAATAAAACTTTTCTTAGAGAGACAAGTTTTGAATAAATGGAAAGACACATTACATTCTTGGATGTTGAAGATTAGGTATTATGAAGGTATCAAGGGCCTTCAGATTAATTTTCACCAAACTAGTCAATTACACTGGTTGTTTCAATTTTTTAATAAACAGCACCATTCAAATTTTCACTCCCTCAACAATAGCATAAAATGTTTATGGTGTCTTTCTAGTGTTTTAAATTAGAAAAAAAATGGCCATTGTTCTTAGCCTTAAAGATATATTGGTGATTGAAAGACTTAATCGTGCTAAAATGCCAATACTATCCAAAACCATCTACAGGTCTAACATAGTCTTTATCAAAATCCCAACAATTTCTTGTCTTATGCTGAGTAAGAAAAATTCACCTTAAAATTCATATAGATCTCTCAAGCCCAGGAGTTCAAGGTTGCAGTGAACCATGATTATGCCAGCGCACTCCAGCCTGGGTGACAGAGCGAGACCCTGTCTCAAAAACATAAATAAATAAATAAATAAATAAATAAATAAAAAGAAAAAATTTATATAGACTCTTAAGGGAACACAAATAGCCAAAAAAATCTTGAAAAACGAAGCAAGTTGAACCTCTCACACTTCCTGATTTCAAAACTTGTTACAAAGCTAAATGAATTAAAACTGTGGTATTGGCATAAAGACAGATAAATAGACCAATGGAACAGAATAGAGAGCCCAGAAATAAACTCTTGGATATATGGTCAAATGATTTTCAACAAGGGTGTCAAAACCATTAAATGGGAAAGAACAGTCCTTTCAACAAAAGATGTTGCAAAAACTGGATATCCACATGCAAAAGAATGAAGTTGGAAACTTACCCTATGTTATGGTTTGGATGTGATTTGTCCCCACCAGAACTCATTTTGAAATTTAATCCCCAACATAGCAGTGGTGGGAAGTGAGGCCTAGTGGGAGATGTTTGGGTCATGGGGACTAATCCCTCATGAATGGATTAATGCCTTCCTGAGGGAGTGAGTGAGTCCTCCTGCTCATGGGAATGAATTGGTTCCTGAGAGAGCAGGTTGTTAAACACGGTCTGGCTTCCTTGGTTTCTCTCTCTTGCTAACTCTCTTGCTATGTGATATCTTTGCCCCACTTCTCTTCAGCCTGAGGCCCTCACCAGATGCAGCTGCCCAATCTTGAACTTGCTAGCATACCAGAATTATGAGTTAAATAATCCTCTTTTCTGTGTAAATTACGTTGCCTTACATTGTAAGGTATTCTGTTATAGCAACACTAAGTGGACTAAGACACCTTATATCTTATATAAAATTAACTCAAAATGGGTCAAAGACCTAATGTAAAAGCTAAACCTATAAAACTCTTAGCAGAAACAGAGACGCTTCATGATATTGGAGGTGGCAATGCTTTCTTGGATATGATACCAAAACACATGCAAAAAAAGAAAAAAACGATAAATTTGGACTACATCAAAGTTTAAAACTTTGTGTATCAAAGGACACATTCAACAGAGTGAAAAGACAACCCATGGAATGGGAGAAAAATATTTGTGAATCATATATCTGATAAGGGGTTAGTATCTAGTATATGTAAAGAACTACAACTTAACAACAAAAAAAACCAACTCAATTTAAAAATGAGCCAGGGTCCTGAATAGATAGATATTTCTCCAAAGAAGATATACAAATGACCAATAAGACCATAAAAAGATGTTCAATGTCACTAATCATTAGGTTAATGCAAATCAAAACTACATGGAGATACCACTTCACACTCATTAGGATGGCTACTATCAAAAAAACAGAGTAAGTGTTGGTGAGGATGCCGATAAAATGAGCACTGTTGGTGGAAAGATAAAATGGTGCAGTCACTATGGAAAATAGTATAGTGATTCATCAAAAAAATTAAAAAACAATAACTGGCCAGGCGCAGTGGCTCACGCCTGTAATCCCAGCACTTTGGGAGGCCGAGGTGGGCAGATCACGAGGTCAGGAGATCGAGACCATCCTGGCTAACACGGTGAAACCCCGTCTCCACTAAAAAATACAAAAAATTAGCCGGGCGTGGTGGCGGGCGCCTGTAGTCCCAGCTACTTGGGAAGCTGAGGCAGGAGAATGGCGTGAATCTGGGAGGTGGAGCTTGCAGTGAGCCGAGAACGCACCACTGCACTCCAGCCTGGGCGACAGAGCAAGACTCCGACTCAAAAAAAAAAAAAAAGAATAACCACATGATCTAACAATTCTACTTCTGGGTATATACGCCAAAGAATTAAAAGCACGGTCTTGAAGAGATCCTTGCACACCCATGTACATAGCAGCATTATCCACAAGAGCCAAAAGGTGGAAACAACCCAAGTGTCACTGATGGATGGAGGAATGGATAAACAAAATGTGGTGTATGCATACAACAGAATGTTATTCAGCCTTAAAAAAGGAAGAAAATCTGACACTTACTAAAATGTGGATGAACCTTGAGGACATTCTGCTAGGTGAAATAAGCCAGTCAGAAAGAGACAAATACTATATAATTTCACTTACATGAAGAATGTAGAGTAGTCATATTGATAAAGACAGACAGTGGAATGATGGCTGCTAGGGGCTGGTGGGATGGGGGGAAAGGAGAGTTATTGAATGGGTACGAGTTTCAGTTTTGCAAGGTAAAGGGAGTTCTGGAGACATGGTGGTGATGGTTGCACAACAATGTGAATGTACATAATGCCACTGAAGTGTACACTTAAAAATGGTTAAGAAAATAAATTTTGTTAGATATACTTTATCACAATTAAATGAAAAAATAAACACATGCTTTCATACAAAAATACATGCAGATATATTAGATAGATATTTAAGGAAATAAAAACTAGAGATTTTTAATTCTCTTATGCTTTTCAATTTTCAGATAATAATTATAATCTAATTTCCCTAGTACTCCCTTGACTTCCCTTTAGGATACCAGCCAATGTTTTGAATTTTCCTACTGTCAGAAGTCTTGGCCCAAGATAAACTTTTCACTCCCTCCTTGTTTTCTAAAGGGTTCAGGCATTCAGACAAACTCCTAAAGTAGACACTGTCCTTCGCCTCAGATGGCTTAAATTCTGTAGGGGTATATTAACAAGAGAGGAGGCAATCACAGTACAATGTGGTGGTCTCATCTTCTAAAAGTTCACCTGATGTCCTGAGGGTGCTGAAATCATGAATGCGTTAGCACAAGTAGGTGACCAAGCAAAGTGACTCTGATAAATTGCATAAAGCCTTTCAATTAGAATTTGTCCAGACACACATTAAAATATAAAGCACAATAGCGCATCAATACTAGAGGCTATTTTTGTTCTAAATAATTATATAGGTATGAGGGCAGGGTGGAGAGAACAGGATTAATATGTAGAGGACTCCTCTGTCGTTTACACAGAAAAAAAATTCAAGCTATAGGGTCTATAACTGTGGACAAGAGATATCTGTTTAGTAGGTGTTTCAGGGGCCAAGAAAGATATGATTATAAAACTCATGTGGCAAAAATATGCTACTAGATTTTGTTTTTTGGTGACCAAGAAATAAGTCTATGCTACTTATAATGTCATATACTTAATTTGAGTAGACAAATTAACAGATGAACTCAAGACAACTCCAAAACTTTCTATACAATTGATTGAAAAAATTGCCACAAAAGCAGATGCTTCAGCTTGGAAAAGTTTCTTTGACAGATTGGTCTCTGGGTTTTGTAATTGTTAACCAAGTTAGGGAAAAATATTACAATATATTTGAGCCTAACGGGGCTCCATCACAGCCATTTTCAGTTAGTACATAAAAGATGTTTTTATCAGGGAGTTACATTTTATTCTTTCTTTCTTCAATAGGATTATTACTGATTCCTTCAAATGTTCTTTTTTTATTAGAAAGAAAAACATATAGAACATGATTACATAAGAGAAAGGTTGCAATTGTCTCTGTGTTAAGCAGAAACTTTCCATTTGCTAAAATTAGGGTACATTTACATTTTTAATAACAGCTAAGTTTAACAAGCCTTATTTTCCTCAGTGGTGGGAGGACACCTTGCAGCTCCTCCCATTTATTGTGACAATGTAATTCAACTCTGTTAAGCTTAAGTGAACAATATAGCCCTCTGATTTTCACTTTTAACAATTGCAAAACATTTTAGTAAACAAAATGTTGCTTCTGTAGACTTTTGAAGGTATCAAGAATAATGAGCCCTCCAAATACATCTGAATTAATTTATAAAAGATGAAAAGATAAGAAACTATTTAGCTTCATAAAGATTTTGACTAGGATTTTTTTATTTAAGATTTTTGGTAAACACACCAATTTCTTTCCCAAATCTCCTTCGCCTGGGTCCTGTATTTCAATGAATGAAGTCATCGTCCTCCTACATCAGCTCAAAACCTCAGACTATGTTTTGACTTCTTTCTCTCTTTACCCCACCCACATCTACTTAGTTTTTACTCATACCAATTCTACTTTTACAGAATCCCTTGCTTGCCTTCTTTATTCAATCTCAAAGCCTACAGGATTAATGAGATACCTTTTTAACAGATCTCCCTACCTTTGGGAGCTTATTTATCAGTCCATCCCACAAAAAAACTGCTATATCAATTTTTTTAGTACAAAATGCTGAAGCTGATCTTTTACTCCTATAACAACTTCCTGTTGTCAGTTCAGTTTTTGGAGTATGGCTGGTATTCAGTACACTCAAAGACATATTCACTCTATGACTCTTTAGCATTATTTCCCACTACTACCTTTCATATACCCTAACCGTCTAGGTCCTTTAATTTTGTGCATCCATGATGTTTTCTTTATTTGGCATGTGCTTTCATTACTCTCAATATGTCCAAATGCTTTCTGCCTCACCTGTGAGACTCAGCTCAAATTTTGAACCCTTTCCAAATGCCTTTATCTTTTCCTTCACTGAATTCTCTTAGTATTTTATATGTAACTCCCACTTTATGTAATTTTGATAGTGTATTAATTTTCATTTACACTTTAATCCCTTGATAGATTTCAAGTTTCTTGTAAGCAGGATTTATAGGTACTTTATCTTGTTATATCCCACATTCTAATTGTTCGATTAATATTCACTGAATAAATCTGTATGCAATACTGGAAACTCTTGAGAATTCAGGTGTGAGATATGTGAAGCAAGGCAATTTATCGACCAGTGGATATTATACATTTTTAAGTCTAAAAGAGACACTTGACCTCAGCAATGCCAAAATCATTGTCATAAAATTGAAACTATTATACAGAATTCACTAAAACCTTATTACATGATCTCTCATGCGGTAATTGGTTAATTTTTCAATGTTAAGAATTCCATGTACAGGGCACAGTACAACAAATCTAATAAACAACTTTCATAACCTATTGTCTTGCCTGTTGTCTGGTTCTGATTATTTGACATTGGTTTTTCCATAGGAGACATCCAATGCAGGAAGCAAAAGAGTTGATTACTGCACACTGCCCTCTGGTGAGCCACATGGGTAATCTAGAGGGGGAAATTCAGAGTTGAGAATGTAATTCACTCTCCATGCCTAGGATGCCAGTTAGTGCCAAAGAATTATGTCACATTTTGTGATGTGATCACTTCTCTCAACTGTATACTCTCCTGAGCCTACTAATTCTTTCCATGCAGGTCATCAAATGGCCATCAGTTGGTAAAATTTTCCTCTTCATTTAGCCAAAAATGGATCCAGAATATTTGTAATGAGTCTTACTAACCCAAGCTTTTCAAAAAATTGTGCTATTACTTCTACCATGACATTTCCCTGCATCTTCATATATCCCCAAAGCATTGTATGAAAACAATGGTAAAACATGTTGTATTAGTCCGTTCTAGCATTGCTATAAGGAACTACATGCAACTCGGTAATTTATGAAGAAAAGAGGTTTAGTTGACTCATGGTTCCACAGGCTATACAGGAAGCATGGCTAGGGAGGCCTCAGGAAACTTACAATCATGGTGGAAGGTGAAGGGGAAGCAGGCACATCTTCACATGGTGCAGCAGGAGAGAGAGAGCAAAGAGGGAAGTGCTACACACTTTTAAACAACCAGATCTCATGAGAACTCACTATCACGAGAACAGCAAGGGGGAATCTGCCCCCAAGATCCAATCACATCCCACCAGGCCCCTCCTCCAACACTGAGTATTACAATTTGACATGAGATTTGGGTGGGGACACAGAGCCAAACCATATCACATATTGTTCTCAGCTTGCAGAGAAGTCAGATTCTTTGTAATTGACATGCTAAATTCTCTACATTCACATAAACGAGTCTTATTTCATATATAAAAACATGGAGCTTTCTCATTCTTGAGGAGAAGTCCAAAAATCAAATAATCAATCTTATAACATTAGAAGTACTCTTTGATTTGGAAGGACCACAGGTATGTCTAGCTTTTGACCATATCAAAACTGCCATATTGCTGGGTGATATTACTCATTTATTACCAGCTGACTGAATACCATTCACAGCTAAATCAATAATGAAAGCTTCAGAACAGGTATGAAACCACTCAAACCTCACATTCTAGGAGGTACACAAATAACCCAGTGTCTAACGTTCATTAGCTTCTGAAATCAACTCTATTTGCTGTTTGTACACAAGTATATTTGTCCATTTTTAATTCTATTCCTAACTTCAGGAATCTGCATTTTGTAAAAGTTATACAAATAATGGATGATCTTCAAATAAGTGTAAATATCCTTACTGAAAAAAAAAACACTTGTAAAAACATAGAATAAATGCTTTCTTGTTTAACGGAGTGCTAAACTTGATAAAAATATGTCCCCATTTATCAAAATTTTGACTCTTCAAAATCCAAGCAACTGATTGATCATCTAGAACCTACTAAAATAGAAATGTAATTTTTCCTTACGTTCTTTATCATGCAGTTGAAAGTTTAAATTATATAAGAACAAAAAAGGGGGTAAGGAGGAAGCTGGAGGGCCAAAGTGAGGGTGGAATTTTTCAAAAAAAGAAAAAAAAAATATAAGAACCACATCCTTTCTTGAATCTCAATCTTTTAATTGTCTGAGGCCATTTATGCGCAAACTCAGTAAACTGGTTTTTACTTATTGTTAATTTATTTTGCTTTCAAATAAGAAAGCCTTCTGTGAGACACTTTCCTGCTGGTTTCTGCTGATTTGTTGCTTAACTGTGGGTACTAGTTTCCTGAATTCAGAGAGGAGTTCAAATAAAATTGCATCTAAGTTCATTTAACTGTAAAACTCTGTTTCTAATGATATCAGACATTAATGAATAATGATTTTAAACCAACAGATATTAACTGTATGTGTACTATATATTTAAACTCAATTTTTGTATTGTATATTATGTAGCTTAAAAGGTACCATAAGGATAAATGGTATATATCAAATTGCAATTTCCCATAGAAATAATTCACTCAGTTTTGTTTTCATTTTGTTTGTTTTTAATCTTCTCTTTTGACTACATTTGAGAGGGAATTTCTGGCTAGCACAGAATCCTTTTTAATTTGTTTCTGTATAATGTGCAGCAGATATACTTAATTAATGAACTGATTAGCAACTTCCTTAATTACTTTCCAGTAGTTTTTTTCATTATTAAATGTTCAGCCTTTGAATGAATATCTACCAATATATGCCATCACAATTTAATCAAATAGAATATATCTGTATTTTGTATTGTACTGAAACCGTCTAAAATAAAGCAAATATTTATATATCAAATAGGGAAATTGACAGCATTGTATGTGATACAACACAATATTATAATGCATTATATGAAGTCCTTAGTTTGCTTTTTCTTATATCTAATTTGTTTTGGTTGGTACCATGCAAAAAATAAAAGGCAACCACTAAGTCATAGAATTTAAATGGCATATTTTAAATGACTTTGACAATTTGTATATAATGTTGACTGACATCTTATCTTCATATAAGGCTTTACAGTTTTTTAATTAATAAACTTTATTTCTTAGAGCAGTTTTAGTTTCACAAACAGCAGAAAGTACAGAGTTCCCATATATTCCCTGTCCCCACACATGCCTTACACCCCTACTACCAGAGTACACGTGTTACAGTTGATAAACCTACATTGACACATCATTACACACAAAGCTCATGGTTTACATGAGGGTTCACTCTTGATGTTGTATATTCAATAGGTTTTGACAAATGTATAATGACATATCCATCACTGTAGTACCTACAGAATAGTTTTACTGTCTGAGAAATTCTCTGTGCTCTGCCTATTCACCCTTTTCTCCTGCCAATCCCTGTCAACCACTGATCTTTTAACTGTCTTTATGGTCTTACCTTTCCCAGAATGTCATATAGTTAGAAGCACAGTATGTAGCTTTTCACAGATTGGCTCCTTTCACTTAGTAATATGCATTTAAGTTTCTTCCTTGTCTTTTCAAGGCTTGATAGCTCATTATCTTTTCATGTTGAATAATATTCCATTGTCTGATATACCATAGTTCATTTATCCACTCACCTTCTGAGGATCTCTTGGTTCTTTTCAAGTGTTGGCAATTATGAGTAAAGCTGCTGCAAATATCCATGTGCAGATTTTTGTGTGGACCTAAGTTTTCAATTCATTGGTTAATTACCAAGGAGCATGATTGCTGGATCATATGGTAAGAGTTTATTTAGCTTTTGTTTATTAAACTTGCATCCTGAAACTTTGTTATAATTGCTTATTAGTTCCAGGAGGGGTTTTTTTGGTTAATTGTTTCAGATTTTCTACATAGTGTTTCTTATGTGAAAGACATTATTTTAGATGTTGTGGATACAAAAATAAACACATAATCCATGTCTTCAAGGATTTCATAATATATAGGGCAAAAGGTGTAAGCAAATTATTACAATGTGGCTTGTGAATGGCTATAATATTAGTATAAATGAAGTGTGATGAGGCCTCAGAGAATAGGCAGCTAATATAATCTGGAAATTTCAGAGAAGACTTTCCAGAGGAGGTTGAGTCTGAGTTGAATCTCCAGGGATGGACAGATGCTATCCAGGAGACCGACAGAAGGAAGATTATGCCTGGAAGAGGAAACAGCATGTTCAAAAACAAAGATGAGAATGCTTCATCCACAGAGAAACTTCCTAGTGGTTTAATGTGATAGACACCGAGATGCACCCCCAGATTCCTCTTCAAAGAGGATTTCCTATGCAGCTGCAGGAAATATGGCCAGTAATTTATAGCTGTCTGTTCAGGTTCAGAGAGCAGTCTTTTCCAAGGTCCTACCCTTAACCAGGGCAATCTGCATCTGGTAGAGGAGAGAAGTCTGAATACAAATGCAGGACAACTCTGATAGACATATTTGTTCCAGAGCTTTCTGCTGAGTTGGCTGAAGTTCTGTTGCGTCTGTATCGCAGTTCAACTTCTCTCTCTGACCAATGCTGTTTCACTTCACTTCCTATCAAAGGTTTGATCCCTAATAAGCACCCTGCATGCTGGCATGCTGAAATTCTTGTTTTGGCGTCTGCTTCCTGAGAATGCAATCCATGAATTTGGTACCAGGACTGGTCCAAGAGAGTAGGTGATGGGCTTTTTGCCTGAGTCATTCATTGCCTCCTGGCATTACTTGTGGTAAATGGAGCACAAACAGCTATTATCACAAGGTAGTAATCAAATTATTAACATTTTCACTGTTTGTGAACTGGCCAGATGAATCAGATATATTTGAGATGTATGGGGAATAAAGTAGCGATAAAGATAAAGGAATTGGATGGCTATTGCTAAGCGGTATTGATGCTCTACACAAAGATAATGAAAAAATCAGAGCGAATAACAAGCAATTAAAAACCAAGTGAGATTGTCAGAGGGCCTCTTTGGCTGCATAAAAAAGAAGCTCTCATTTCCTGCAGGAGGAGGCTGGAGAAAGGTGAAGACCAAGACTAGACTTTATAGTCAGAGTAGCTGAACTTCAAAGATGGTTATATGCCCACTAAGATAGATGGTTAATAATAAGCAAAGTTGAAATGCTGGGATTGCCATGGAAGAAGGTTGAGGAAGGGAAAGGCTGAGGAAAATAAGCATGCTGGAATGAAAATACAAATAAGGCTGGAAGACTGAGAGGAATATGTTCCATGGGAAGGCCCAAAGGATACACAGTTTACCAAGGCTGTAATGAATGAGCTGGTGAAAGAAGCACTAGCAACACTAACAAGCAGAGTAGTGATGCTCCTCTTTAGGCCAGAGGTCACTGTAGGAGAGGCCATTACAGAACCTGACTCATTGGTAACAAAGAAGTTGATAGAACCCTGGAAAAACAGAGGCCAGTTGTGGCATTTAACTGCCAGAAGCCAGGGATTTTAAATAATTGTAAGCATCAACAAGGTCAGAATGGCAGCCCAGAAAGAACCACAGAATTATGGAACATATTAATAGAATTTGACAATGCTAGAGACAAAATAAATTGGTAGTGACAATGGAATCACTCAGCATGTACTGTTAGAAGAAATCAAGCATGAATAACAGAGTGATACTTTATTGTGTCATAATCCCTTGCCCAGTTTATGGGCCTGAGTCAATTTTCAGACCTGTATCTCATTCATTGACGTGTTTAGGCCTCCTGGGGATGGACCTTGTGATGCCATGGCAAGTACACCTGGTAATGATTCCCTTAGTCCTTCTTCAAAGGGACCAAAGGCCATTTACTTGGTGATACGGTTTGGCTCTCTGTCCCTCCCAAATCTTATCAGAAATTATAATCCCTACATGTTGAGGAAGGAACCTGTAATCCCCACGTGTTGAGGGAGGGAGGTGGGATCATGGGGACAGTTTTCTCCCTGCTGTTCTCATGAGATCTGATGGTTTTATAAGGCAGTTTTCCCTGCTCTTGCTCATTCTCTCTCCTGCCTCCTGTCAAGAATGTGCCTGCTTCCCTTCTGCCATAACTGTAAGTTTCCTGAGATCTCTCCAGCTGTGCACAACTGTGAGTCTATTAAACCTCTTTCCTTTATAAATTACCCAGTCTCAGGGAAGTTCTTTATAGCAGCATGAAAATGGACTAATACACTTGGGTAATGTGAACCAGCTGGACATTTAGTTGACACTGATACTAGGAGAACCAACACATTAGGGCCTTAATTTATAGTTGGAGCATGTGAAGGCCAGTTTTAAAAATGGAATTCTGTCCAGATTCAGCTTATATTGGGCCCACTGGTTGCAACAAGGACCACCTGACTTATAAAGCTTAAAATATTAACTATCTGTTCCTGTACATAAAAAGTTTGCTAACCCCAGATCTAAAGGATGCAGAATGGTCATACCCATCCACTGGATTCACTCGTCTTGCTTCTGCAAAAATAGGATGGATCCTGAAGAATGACTATAGACTTCCTCAAGCTCAACCAAGTAGTAGTAGCCCTCCTGACAGTTATTATGCCAGATGTGGTATCTTTATTAGAGTGAATCAACATGGCCTTAGGTACATGGCATGTGGTCTTCAGTTTGGTGAATGCATTCTTTTCCATCCCACTTAGATTACAGGATCAAATATCATTCAATATGCATTCACATGGAAAGAATAAATATACATTAACAAGGCAGTAGCAGCCGTGAAGTAGAGGAAGGAGAGCGAAAGCATTTAAGGAACTGCATCTGAAAAGAACCAGTGGCTATTCCACACTATATATCATCCCACTCCTCTTTGTAATAAAATCCCCGAATTTTAGCAGGCCACAAAGCTGCCCAGACAAAGAGGGCAGTTTGAAACTTACCCTGTAGCTCGGTATGGCTATGTGGCCAAGTTCTAGCCAGTGAGATGTGAGAGTAAAATGTTTGCCTTCTGTGCCCTGCTCTGCTAAAGAAGAGGTATGCCCTTCACTTCCCCTTTTCCCTTTTCCTGCTAGTTAGAATGCGGACATAATGGCAGAAATTGGAGCACTTATATTAGACCGTGGAAAGGACGCCATATGTTGAAAATGGGAGAACAACAAGATGTAAGGAGGTCAAGTAGCGTCTCCTTACGTGGAGCCACTGTATCAGCCCTGCATTGCCTAGGCTTATGCTTTTATGTGAGATAACAATTAGAACTTATCTTGTTTAAGTCACAATTATTTTGGAGTCTTTGTTAAAGGAGCTGAAACTAATGTTCTAACTAATGCAAGTGCTTACAAAAGCAACTGAGCAAGGAGGTTGGATAGGTTGTGTGGAGGACAGATGATAACTTTGTTTTGGAACACGTAAGTTCTAATTTCTTGTGGGACGTCTATGTACATATCTAGTAGGCAGCTATAAAATCTAGTCTTAACTGAAATCTATTCTTAGCTATTCTTAGATAATTCTGGACCGAATAATTAAAAAAAACACCAAACTTTCACTGGGTCATCAAATGTGGATATGGTAAATGGGTTTTGTGTAGATATGTAGAATACATTAATGTAGATTGAGAAATAAGTTTATGTAGAAGATATATGTGTATTCCAGAATTATTTACGTTAAGGTGATATCGTTTGTGATGAATAGAAAAGATTACCAGAGAATGCCTAAATCCAAGTGAGAAGAGAACAAAGGATAGAAACTTGCAGCATAGCTACAATGAAGAAGAAGGTGAAAGGAGACTGTGAATTGGATAAAGAATCATCTGAAAAGTTGGAAAATCAGGATAGAATAATTTTGTTGAGGTTAATACAAGAGTAAATTTCTATAGACAGTGACTTGCTCTCTCAAATGCATGTGTATTTTAGTGAATAAATATAATTAAGAGTTAATATATCCCATAGCTACATGTAGTGATTATAAAGCATATTCATGTCACTACAGATGATTAACAATGGACATTTATGCTATTATTATAAATTTGGGGAAATGATGCCTATGCAAGAGGTAATCATATGGTGATTAAGAACTAATAACATTTTCTTAGCAAAGAGCATGCTGTTATTCATATTATTTTTAATAGGATTCTTATAATCCATATTTTACTCAGCTTAATTATCAAATATTTCCATAAGAGATTAACTTGTGGGTATCTTACAAACATAACTGTACTAAAAATATGACTTCATTAAAGCAAAAGACAATTTTATTGCTACTTAATCTCTAGTGAAGGCATTATCAACATTTGTTAAATTGTATAACTTTGATAGAAAATTATTAGGCAAATTATCATATGACTCTGGGGTTTAAGATACATATCTTAAGCAAAGATTCTAATAAGTGTATGAAACTAATATATAGTATGTATAATAGGCAAAATAATGCCTTAGCTCTTAGTGAATTTCCTTTTTTCCTCAAAAACACAGTGGGTTTGTAGCTTACTACCACAGGCAGATTTAGACAACTGCAGGCTTGATACGCTCTCTGACTTTATGTCCTTATAACTATGTATTCAAACTTATAAAAATGTTATCAAAGAAAAATTTGACTAGTCTTTATTTATATTTTAAATTGGAAGCCAAATATTCTTGAATTGACAATATAACAAATTTACAGGCAGAGTTAGTGCCTAATAGACATAATTTTCTTTCAGATGTTTGGATAATTTTTTTCTCAAAGTTAGGTTAAAGTTTGACATAAGAACACAAAATTCCCTTTTATCATTAGGATCATATAAAATCCCTAACCTAAAGAAAGAGGAAAAAGCAGGAGGACCTTCCACTGCTCACATACAACACTTTACTTGTTCTTGTCAAGTTAAAAGAGTGATCAGACTCTCAAGAGAGTGCTGCTTGGGGTTCGACTGTGTTCTTTAGAACTCCATTTTTCAAACTTTAGAGTTTTCTCATGATGTGTAAATTTTGTGGTGCACCAAAAATTTTGAAAAAGTTTAGTTCAAACTCAATTTATCTTAGTCGTAGTAGCTCTTGCCTGGCTTTCTGCCCAGAGTATTGCTTGGTACATCTGCAAAAGTGGTGCAGTAACTACTAAGGAAGCAATACAATAGTTAAATACAGATGTAAAGCCTAGCTTGCTTTTTGATTTTTTAATGCGTATCATAAAAAGTAGCATTTAGTTGGAGAAAATATTAACAAACCATGCATTCAACAAAGGTCTAATGTCCAGAATCTATAAGGAACTTAAATCAACAAGCAGAAAACAAATAATCCTGTTAAAAAGTGGGCAAATGACATGAACAGACACTTCTGAAAAGAAGATATACATGTGGCCAACAAACATATGAAAAAATGCTCAACATCACTAATCATCAGAGAAATGCAAATCAAACCCAAAATGAGATGCCATCTCACACCATTTAGAATAGCTATTATTTAAAAGTCAAAAATAACAGATGTTGGCGAGGCTGCAGAGAAATGGGAACTCTTATACACTGTTGGCAGAAATGTAACATAGTTCAGCCCCTGTTGAAAGCAGTTTGGAGATTTCTCAAAGAACTAAAAATGGAACTACCATTCAATCCAGAAATCCCATTACTGGGTATATACCCCAAAGAAAATCATTCCACCAAAAAGACAAAGGCACTTGTATGCTCATTGCAGTACTATTCACAATAGCAAAGACATGGAATCAACCTAGGTGCCCATCCATGGTGGACTGGATAAAGAAAGTGTGGTACATAATCACCATGGAATACTATGCTGCTATAAAAAAGAATGAAATAATATTCTTTGCAACAACTCGGATGGAGCTGGAGGTCATTATCCTAAGTGAATTAATACAGAAACATAAAACTAAATACTACATGTTCTCACTTATAAGTGGGAGCTAAACAGTGGGTACACACAAACATAAAGATGGAAACAATAGACACTGGAGACTACAATAAGAGGGAGGAAGTGGGGGAAGGGTTGAAAAACTATTTACTGGGTACTATGCTCACTACCTGGGTGATGAATTCAATCATATACCAAACCTCAGCAATGCACACTATAGTCTTGTAACAAACCTGCACATGTGCACCCTGAATCTAGGGTAAAGGTTGAATTTTTTAAAAGTAAAATTTAGCAGCCAGAGGTATGTTATTTAACAAATGATTAAAAATTATATGAATGATTTAGGTGTTTAATCCAGAATACAAAAAATATTCCAGCATAAATTTTTGTTTATAGAAAGTTTAATTTCACAAATAAAAGTTATTTGTTCATTTATGTTTTTTAAGTATGTAATGAAGACTAAAGGAAATAGAGTGGACACATGTACTTTCTATTGATAGTCACTACATTTTTTAGTTATTTATTTGGAGATAATAGTTGAAGGCAACTTATCATATAAATTAATTTTGTTAATTTGTTGTAATGATTACACAGATCAAATCATGGCTTCTCTTCTCTTTCTGCTTGGGCTTTCTTTTCTGTATTAGGCTCTGAGATACTTGAAGCAATTTAAGGGAGTGATTCTTGCCCCGTTATGAGTTCAGTTAACCAGGCAAGCCAATATGGTGGCCAATGACAATTTTCCAAAGAGTGAGAAGTTAGGGATCATGTGTCTCCTAGGTAATGGAGATTTCATAAATGGGTTATGTACAGCACTGAATCCAAAGGAGACCTGATTAGAGAAAGGGCCAGAAAAGTGTTATTTAAAACTTTCACAGTTTACTCTTTAATTTTGTATATACACAGTGTTACAAATAAATATTTGAAATGCTTTTCTATTGGTTTAATGTGGGAAGCTGAGTAGTGCAGGAATCTGAGAGAACTGCACTCAGGAACAGTAGCTCATATTCAGCCTCATTCTGGCATGAGCATGGACACAGAAGAAAGTAGTTATGGCTCATTTCCATTTTTATAAAAAACAATTATTTTCTAACATTTAATAAGAGGTTAGAAATACAGAATCTTTCTACCAGTTAAAACATTTGGGATTGCAAGTAACAGAAACCCTAATTCAAACTAGATTAAACAATAGAAGGGATTGTTCACATAAATGAAAAGTCCCATGGAGGTGAAGGAAGCTTTAGAATTGATTTGATCAAAGTTTCAGCTCCATTTCTCTGCATTATATCAACTTAGTTTTACTGTCTGCATCTGCTTTGTCCTCAGACTGGTTTCCTTTACAGTCACAAATTAGTTGTTAAAAGCAGGAGGGGTTACAGGCTTCATCACTTATAGGAAGTTCTTCCTGACAACTATCGAACAATTGTCCTGAGGTTTGTACTTGTTGGATAATCCCTGAAATAATTCATATGATTAGGGTAATGCTATGATTGGGCTAGGACAGGGTTGTCCACTCACAATAACTGTGTCAAGGAGGTTGGGGTAACTTTTAGCTTAGACCAATCAGGACTCACCCTTAGAAAAGGGATGGGGTCAATCTCATTGAACACGGCTGAAAGCTACACAATGGGGTGAGGGTAAAATGCATGTTTGAGTAACAACTACCAGGTCCACTGTAGTATACTCTTGTGCTCCCCAACCATTGTAATTAACATGTATCTTTCTTTTCCCCACTCTCTCTCTCACTCCACAATATGTGATATGGCTTGGCTCTGTGTCCCTACCCAGATCTCATCTCCAATAGTTATCCCCATGTGTTGAGGAAGGGACCTGTGATCCCCATGTGTTGAGGGAAGGAAGTGATTGGATTATGGGGGTGGTTCCCCCATGCTGTTATCGTGATAGTGAGCGAATTTTCATGAGATCTAATGGTTTTATACGTGTTTGACAGTTCCTCCTTCACAGGCTCATGCTCTCTCTCTCACCTGCCGCCATGTAAGATGTGCCTGCTTCTCCTTCTGCCATGATTGTAAGTTTCCTGAGGCCTCCCCAGCCGTGCAAACCTGTGAGTCAATTTCCTTTATAAATTACCCAGTGTTTGGAAGTTCTTTATAGCAGTAAGAAATTGGACTAATACAATATGTTAGGTTTACCTGGAATTCCTTCCTTATGGTCTAGCAACTAACAACAAATGTTAATAAATGCAAAAAGCAATAAATGTAAAAAGCAATGAAAAAGAAATGCAAAAAGCAATGAAAAAATAAATGCAAAAAGAAATGAAAAATGCAAAAAGCAATGAAAAAGAAAGGTCAAAATCACTGCAATAAAAACTCCCAATTAAAGAGGGGACACAGGCTGGGCACAGTGGCTCACTCCTGTAATCCCAGCACTTTGGGAGGCTGAGGTAGGCGGATCACCAGAGCTTGGGAGTTCGAGACCAGCCTGACCAATATGGAGACACACTGTCTCTACTAAAAATACAAAATTAGCTGGGTGTGGTGGCACATGCCTGTAATCCCAGCTACTCGGGAGGCTGGGGCAGGAGAATTGCTTAAATCGGGAGGTGGAGGTTGCGGTGAGCTGAGATGGCACCATTGCACTCCAGCCTGGGCAACAAAAGCGAAACTCTGTCTAAAAAAAAAAAGGGACACAGTGGTTTCTGATCCCTGTCATACTCTGTAGACAGGAATAATGAGGACTGTTGGCTGGCAGTGGTATGTGTTCTTTCAGCAGTTACTCTTTTGCTCTCTATGTCCTCCACTGCCCTATCTGAGATGGTCATTGGGGAAGATCCTCTTTTTGGGAGGTTGCATCATTTTGCTAGCTCATCTCCTATTAGGTTGAGTTTAGATATTTGAGGATACTCCTAACATTAAATAGTCACAGGCTATCATCAGTCAGCCTTGAGATTTATTTAACAATACATTTTCCCTTAAATATTAGGTTTTAGAACTATTTGCTTCTTGTTATTTCTGTAGGCAAGTAACCATGGCAAAGACCATGTCTAGCCCTAGTTTTTTTATCTTGGAATTTCTGTTTCCTAGTAATCCTTCATGTTCTGCTGGTCTAAATTTAGTTTAATAGCTTATCCCGATATCTTCACTGGGGATATTTAAAAAATGAACTTGCATGGTAGAGGGAAAGGCAATAACGTTTTATTCCTTATCTCCATAATGGGCATGGTATCTCTAGTAATCTTCGTAACGAACATGATTCTCCCTTTCGTTAAGCAGAACATTAAATTTTTCCACCTTTGGCATGCTATGATTACTGAAATTTTAGACATTCAGGTTTGAAATTTGAAGGGTGCTATTTCTAAGTGTGTAGGCTACAGGGTTTGCTAGCTTCTTATAACCTTGCTCACGTAAGGTAGGAGCCGTCTCTGAAATACATTACCCAATTTACATATGGTGAGCATCATTGATTCATTAATGGAGAGTCAATTTATAACTTCCATTACCTAAATTAACGAACCACAAATTTCACCCATTAAAACCTATTTTTAACATTAATTTTATTGATTAGCAAGGTCTCCAGTAATGGGAAATAATAATAAGCACTAATGGTGGCTACATTTGGAGTGCAGCTCTTCTGATTACCTATCAACCTGGAGTATAAATTCTATATGATGGCAACTGACAATCATTAGAGGGTAGGGTAAATCTGGAAACACACATGTACATTTATATCAAATTATATACACTAAAGTCTTTTAAGGTGAAGTATAATAATAACAAATTTAAACTGACTTAACTAATATTCAGTACCAGTGAGGGTAAGTAGAAAAATCAAGCTCTGTATTAATTTGACCTAAAAGCTGCCATAACAGAAGAAACCAGTAGATTAAAAGGAAGGAGGCAGAAAAGTGTTTATTTAAAACCTTCACAGTTTACTGTTTATGTCCTTCTTCTTATATACAAAGTTATAAATCTTTGCTTATTTGATCAGGGTTCCAGCTTTTTTATTTTCTTGGTTACAAGATGACTGCCCTCAGTAACAAGAACCACATGCTTTCTCATTTATCAAGGGAGAGAAAGGAGCCACAGCCCACAATTTTGGGGCTAAAGTCCTGTAATTGGTGCCAATTTGCTCAACCCTGAACAACATCTTGTGGCCAGGGGAACAACGTAGGTTGGGATTGGGTTATCTTAACTGGACTAACTTTGGAGATAAAGGTGAGGTTAATTTCACCTCAATTTCTTAGGTGTACTATGCACAATGTGGGAAGAGTGGAATAAATGTTGGGATTGCAACTACAGTGTCCATGATAATCACTTTCAAAGCATATATATATGTAACAACTATATTGTTAGTTGCAGTTAAACTAGATCTAAGAATATGTAATTGTGTCTGACATAATTTTTTATGTTTGATTCTTAACAAGTTTTAAGTCCGGCTCCTCACCTGTTCCCTTTTGTATGATATCTGAATCTAGGCAACTTGATGAGAAAGCTTGCCTAGATCCAAATATGGTGCAAAATAGGTATTTCCTATTTTGGTGCTGGTGGAAAATTTGAGCCATACAGTCCCTGCCCTGTGTGGGCTTTTTCACCCAAGCGCCATGTCCTAGCCATGAAAAAAATCCCAATAGCTTTTTCTCCTACTCTCTCAAGTCATTTTAAAACCTGCTTAGGAGGTCTGCTGTACTCTTCCTAGAAAGGCTCATTATGTGAGTAATAAACCTTTTTATACCCTGTTGGTGCATATGTGGTATGCTAAGTCTTGAAATAGGAGCCAAAGTTTGGGTGAGGGTTCATCTCATTTCTGTGGGTGACTGCAACAGCACATAAACTTCAATGGCAGTTTAAATTCCTGCAACCTATCTGCTGTGGTCTGAATGTTTTTGTCCCCCCACAATTCATATGTTAAACTTAATCACCAATGAGATAGCGTTAGGAGGTGGGGCCTTTGGGAGGTGATTAAATCATGAGGACACAAGCCTCATGACTAGGATTACTGCCCTTATAAAAGAGGCTCCAGAGAGCCGCCCTGTCTCTTCCACCACATGAGGACACAGCTAGAAGGCACAATCTATGACCCAGAAAGCAGGGCCCCACTAGACATCCAATCTGCTGGTGTCTTAATCTTGAACTTCTTAGACTCCAGACCTGTGAGAAATAAATTTGCATTCATAAGCTACCCAGTATTTTTCTATAGCAGCCTGAACAAACTAAGATACCATCATTGTAGTGTTTCATTATTCTTATCACCAAGTGCCCAATCTTCCTCTTGATGACTACAGCCAGAAACCTGGAATATATCTTCAATTCTTTCTTCTTCTTCTTACTCCTCCTTTTTTTTTTTTTTTTGAAAGGGTCTTGCTCTGTCATCCAGCTGGAATGCAGTGGCACAATCACAGCTCACTGCAGCCTCCACCTCCCAGGCTCCAGTGATCCTCCTACCTCAGCCTCCCACATTGCTGGGGTTACACGTATAAGCCACCGTGACTGGCTTCTTTCCTCCTTTTTTGTTGGCCATGTGCCTTTAAAATCCTTTCTGCCAATTTCATGGGTACCATCTCGGCTCAGGCAGTCATTAATTCCTCATTTTAGTTATTTTATGTCTTCTATCTGGTTTGTTTGTTTTTCTAGTCTTGGCCCCGTCTCTCCTACCCAATAATCCTTCCTCTATACTGCTGCTGAAGTAATTCTTCTCCAACCTTGCTTAACTAATTCAGCAATTTCCCATTACCTTCAGGATACAGTTCAAACTCCTTAACACAGTTTACAAAACTCTTCATCATCTTACATCTACATTTCCCATTTCTCCTGCTGCATACCTGCATACCACAATGTTTGCTTCTATGGTATGCTTACCTGCAAAATATACTTACCTCCACAGTTCATAGACAAGGAAATATATACAAAGGTATATGTTCCTTTTTCTGGAGCATACTCATGTCTTTCCTTAGCTTGGTCAATTCCAATAGATTCTTCAGGACTAATCCTGAGCTTTGATACATTCTATGAGAAGTACTTCCTGTTTAACCTAGGCTGAGTGAGGTGTTCTTTCTCCACCTTTTAGCAATAACCTTTATTTCAGTGTTTATTATCACTGTAATATCTGATTTGATTGTATATTTTTCTAGATGTGATTCTCTTAAGGGCAGGCACCATGTTTTTCATCTCAGAAGGTCACAAACTATTAGGAAAATGGGCTTGCAGATACATGTACAACAAAGAATAATAATTGAAGATGGCTCATGGAAAAAGTATTCTGAAAAGTAAGAGAGGCACATGTTCTAGAGAGACAAGAAAAGGCACAATAGAGAAATTAGAGCCCTCATACATTGCTGGTGAGAAAGTAAAATGGTACAGCCACTTTGGAAAACAGTGTGGTAGTTCCACAAGGGGTTAAACATAGAGTTACCATATGACCCCGCAATTCCACTCTTAGGTATATATCCAAGAGAAATGAGAACATATGTTGACACGAAAACTTGTACATGAATGTCAACAGGAGCATTATTCATAATATTCAAAAAGCTGAAACAACCCAACCGATGAAGGGACTTTGAAAACATGTTAAGTGAAAGAAGCCAGTCACAAAAGACCACACATTGCATGATTCCATTTATATGAAATGTTCAAGATAGACAAATGCATACAGACGGAAAGTGGATTACTGGTTGCCTAGGGCTGGGGAGAGGAGGGAGAAGTTGGGGCCAAAGGGTATGGGGTTTCTTTTTGGGGCTGTGAAAATACTCTAAAATCGAATGTGGTAAAGCATGCATAACTCTGTGAATATACTAAAATCACTGAATTGTTTATAAAGAAAAAGATTACTGTGGGGAAGGAAGAAAGATTTCATGGAGTTGGTAGGATTTGAATTCACTGATAAATAAGTGATATAAAAAGCAAAGTGATGTGCTATAGTGAATAAACAAGCCCTTCTGTTGGGCAGATCTGGCTTTAAATCCACTTGGTCAATTTACACTTCCTAAATCTGTAACCTCATCTAAAGTGTAAATATATTAATATACCTACTTTGTAAAATTATTGTGGTAAGTTATATATGGGATTTAAAATATTTAATCTAATGCCAGGCACATAGCAAATATTAATAATAAATATTAGTTACTTATTATAAATCTGTTTAGTATGGAATACAGTTTAGTATTGAATATCGGGACAGAGTGAACATGTAAGTACATCAATGGGAAGGAACTCCCAGAAACTAATCTGGTTTCCAGCAGAAAGAGATATGAGAGACAAAATAATATAAAGGTAACCTTACTAAGTTTAAGAAATATTTATGAATACCTTTTTTCTAACTACTAGACACTTTGCTAGACTGCTGGATACACAAAGACAAATGAGAAGTGAGTAGATTGCTGGATATACAAGTGAGAAGTGGTCCTTGACTTGGTAGTCTAGTAGACAGATAAAAAAATATGTGTAAGAAAGCATTACATTTCTTACAATAGAAATGTTTTTTGTATGCATAAAGAAGGGGGTGGGCTGGAAAAAGAATGTAGTCAAGGTGACTTGCTCAATACTGAAACTGCTCATTAACTACTTAGGCCAGCACTTATGGCAGACTTGTCAGGATGCCTTGCTAATATTTTCCACTTCCAGTACAGAACAGAGATTACAGGTTTAAGCCAATTTTGTTCAACAGATGAGAAACCCAGTGTCCAAGGATGAAAGAATACTTGTTATACAAGGAATGTGAATATTCCAGAGATTTATGCTCAAAGTCCCCAGGTTAGTGTCTTTCTTTCTCACTAGACTGTAAGCTTCTTGAAGACAAATATCTTGAGTGTTACCTTGCTCACTCTTGAATTGTCAAAACTTGGCCCAGGACTAGGTATGTGGTATACAATCAATAAAAATTTGTTGAATGAATGTTCTTCAAAATCCTTCCATGGCAAAAACAGAAGAAACATTCACGAGTGGACTGCTAGTTGACTGTTTCTCTCATCGCTATTGACAGTCTGAAATGGACAAAGACATCTATATAATCATTCCTTCCTTTCAAATAAATAATCTGTGAATTACGCTATTCTTTTCCTATTGCTTCAGGACAAGCTATTTGACAGAAAGCTTTTAAGAAAGGCTTTGCAAGAAAACTCTGCAACAGAGATGGCACGTATGAATTGCTGTGATCTGGAGTTGAAGACAAGAACAAAAGTAACTCTAGAGCAGAATTCTTTGACCAAAGTCATCTTACTGGTTGGCGGAGGCTCTCAGTCTACTTGCATCCGGTGCTTGAGAGTTCAGACAGGCAAAGATGAGAGGTAGCATCTAGTCAACATCCATTTCTTGAGCACTTACTACATGTCAGCCACTTTGCTTAGTCCCCGGTTTTACTGTGCTCTGCTAGGAAGTGGTGAAGAGATTCGGCGGGATCTTCTTAGGACCAATCCTACAAAGTTCCAGATGGAACTCATTTTGATTTGGGGGACGGTTTACTTGCAGGGATTAGGTGGAGAAACAGGGCCTGCTACTCAAGAGGAATGAGAAACTGTAACTAACAGGAGGTAGACTGGGAAGGAGCATGGCAAAGTCACCCCTTTTCACAGGGCAACGCTCCAAAGACCACGCTCAAGCTGGGGTGGCAGGGCTCTGAACATGGGGCCCCGACCCGGGCCTCGGCCTGGGGCCACGTGACGCGCGTGTTTACGTTGAGTGACGGGCGCTGTGTTGGGCGGGCCTTGGCGGAAATCAACTTCCGGGGGCAGAGGTGTTCGAAGCCGGGTGGTGCGTGGGCTACCCCAACCTGTGTGGCTGGGCCGCGGTCTCCCCTCAAGGGCCTGGGGCCGTGCCTCGGGTGTACGCGTAGGGGTCTGTGTGCTGGGGGTGGCTCACCGGGCAGCGTGGGTGAGCGGCGCAGCGGCGGCAGCGGAGAGCGAGAGAGGGGAGCAGGTAAGTGAACGCTCGCCTTCCGGGGCCTGGGTCTTGGGGTCGGGGCCGCGCGAGGCGAGCGGAGAGCGCCCCACCGGGGGAGGAGCGCGGACGAGCTTCCGCCGCCTGCAGCCCGCCTGCTGCGGCCTCGCCCTTGGCTGTCGCAGCGACCAGGAGTCAGGGGGCGTGACCAACCTCCTGCGGGAACGGAGCCAGCTCCCGGGGGTGGGAGTGCCCACTCGTTCCTGCGCTCGCCGGTGGGTACCGGTATCTGCACGTCCCAGAATCGAGTGTTTTCGAAAGTCTACGCCCACGAACACGTGATTATTGTGTCACCGAAGCGCCTACCGAACGGAGACCTTGATTCTTGCTTAGATTACACAGAACGCGCCTGGTTTATGTATCCCCTTTTACTTTGCCAAGTACATTGGGGTAAAAGCTCTACAGCGTCTGCCAGCCACATTTCCTTAGAGTTTCTTGGGCCACATGTTGCAATAAAAGTGGCATTTCAGGGTCAAGGCAGGAGCCAGTAACTTTGCCAAGTGGTGAGGTATCCTTCGTCCCCGTTAGCACGCCTCCCTTTCCCAACAATAAAGATATTTTCTCCATCTGCGCGTGTCGCCTACTGCGGAGGAAAGCTTTGGACATGAAACCTATTTTTGGCTTCACTTTAAGGAGTGGAACTCTATTAAAAGCTGCGCTGGTGTTTTTTTGGTAGGATGATGTTGCTGCTGCTACTCTCACTTGCTTCCTTGATGAGAGTTGGGGCAGAGCTCGATTTCCTGGAGGGTAAAGTCTTGGCCACAATTTTAGGTGACTCAGCGGCCCCTTATGAATTCTGACTCTTTCCTTCCCTCCCCTCTCAGCTGTGCGGATACTGATGCCACCTTTCTCTCCAAATATTAATCCGGGTGGGAGTTGGATGATGGTTTTTGGAAGCAGTTTGCATGTTGCGTGGTGGAGTTATTGGAGTGGGCTGACATTTTACTTCACAATTTAAGGCAACCCTTCCCCCCCCCACAATATTTAGTTGGGTGGGGTGACAGGGACTGACAACAAATTCGCTGTTGTGTTCCCTGCTGTCGGAGAGTTCTACACTTAATGATCACCTGATTGCCCTCTGCTACAATTTCTATTGCGTTGAGGGGATTGGTTATACTGTCTGTACCTATTAGGTAAATGTAGTAAGGGTCATGCCAGGCAGAGTGCACCTGCATGGTGTTGGCTAACCAGTAAACTGTGTGGTAGAGAATTGCCCTGGTTACGAAGTTTGGTATCCTCCAGGCTGCCTAGGAGGGTGTTCTGTGGGCTGGGAAATCTTATGAACTGGTTTCCTAGCAACAGTATAAGCCCAATGGAATAAACATAAAGAAAACAAAGTGATGAAAGTTACAACTTACCTCTTAACTTTTATTAAATGGAAAAATGTAGCTTCTTATTGGAGTGATCCACTCAAAACTTCTGAGACATTTTTGTTTATTTTGATCATCTTAGTACTTAATAACACACAAAAGAAACTGCAGAAAATCATTCCAGAGGGACATCACTTTGGTTTTGGGTGGCATTAAAATAGAGAAAAAAGACGTTTAAAAATGAGCTTGTCTGGAGCTTAAATGGACAAACAGGAATTTGGTGTAATAGGCATTTTATGTTGTACTCTTATCTATATGTGTCAGATGTATGCATTACATATGATTGTTATGAATGAAGATAGTAGAAGACGGAGTGGGAGTGGAGTAGAGTGGATGGGTGGATAAGACTGGTTCCATTAAGTAAAATGGAAGGGGAATGTTTTAGATAAGTTGTTCCCAAACTGTAGGTCATAATTACAGCACTCCTTTGTCAACCTGTTCCTTGTGATTTTTAATCTTCCTTGAAAGTTTATCAAATTTTCTTATTTTCTGTCCAAACAATGAGAACTTAATTGAAAAAGGCATCTCTCTTTGGATTAACTCTTGGTGTTTATGTATATCTGTTTCTTATTTACTAACGATAAATTAATATTTTAGATTTCCAGTATTTTAAGGATTTTTGGTCTCCTTACTGTTCCTCCCTGCCCTATTCCCATACCCAGTAAGTTTGGTTTAGCTCATTTAAACTGATGCATATTTTTAAAAAGGGCATATGTTGCTTTTTTTAAAAAAAATCAAGTTTTATTGAGGTATGATTTATAAGTAAAAAAGTAATTTTTATTATATTGCTGTATAAAGTCTGACAAATGCATATAATGGAACCACTGCCACAATCCAGACAAATAATATTCCCATCATTCTAAAGTTTCCTCCCCTCACTCATAGGTCCTAGCAACCACTGATCTGTTCTCTGTCCCTGTCTATAGCTTTGTCTTTTCTGGTATGTTATGTAAATGGAATCATACAGTATGTAGCCTTATGTTTCAGGTTTCTTTCACTTAATGCTTTGATTCATCCATGTTGATGCATGTTTGTTGATGCTTGGTTGTTTTTTACAGCTGAGTAGTATTTCATTGTGTGAATATATCATAGTATGTTTATTCGCCATTTGATGAACAATTTTTGGCATTTAGGAATGAAGGTACTGTAAACATTCATGTGCTGTTCTTTGTACATTAAGGTGCAAGTCTTTGTGTAGACATATGTTTTCATTTCTTTTGGTTACACATCTAGGAATGGAATTCTTGGGCCGTGTGCAAGTGCATGTTTAACCTTAAAAGAAATTACCAGCTGGGCGCAGTGGCTCAGACTTGTAATCCCAGCACTTTGGGAGGCCGAGGTGGGCAGCTCACGAGGTCAGGAGATTGAGACCATCCTGGTCAACATGGTGAAACTCCGTCTCTACTAAAAATACAAAAATTAGCTGGGCGTGGTTGCGGGTGCCTGTAATCCCAGCTACTCAGGAGGCTGAGGCAGGAGAACTGCTTGAACCAGGGAGTCGGAGGTTACAGTGAGCTAAGATCGTGCCACTGCACTCCAGACTGGTGACAGAGTGAAACTCCGTCTCAAAAACAAAAAAAAAAAAAAGAAGGAAATTACCAAACTGTTTTCCAAGGTAGCTGTTTCATTTTGCATTCCCGCAAGTGATGTTTGATGTTCCAGTTGCTCCACATTCTGGTCAGCACTTGTCATTTTATTTTTAATGTTAGCTATTCTAATATGCGTTTAGTGAAAACCCATTTATGTTTTAATTTGAATTTTTCTTCTAACATATTGAGCGTCTTTTCCTGTGCTATTATTTGCCATCTGTGTATCTTCTTTGATTAAGTGTCTGCTGAAATCGTTTGTTCGTTTTTAATAGGGTTGTTTGTTATTGGTTTGCAAGTGTTTTATACAGTCTGGATACAAATTCATTATCGTATATATGTTCACAGCATTTCCTTCGAGTCTGAGTCTGTAGTTTGTCCTTTCATTTTCTTAACAGTATCTTTCAAAGAGCAGAAGTTTTAAATTTTGGTGAAGTCCAGTTTATCAGTTTTTTCTCTTATGATTTGTGCTTTTTTATCATGAGAAATTTTGCCTAATCCAACGTTGCAAAGATTTTTTTTCTTATGTTTTCTTCCAGAACTTTTATAGCTTTAAATTTTAGATTTAGGTCTGTGACCAATTTCGAGTTAATTTTTGCATATAGTGTGAGGTAGGGGTCAAGACTCTCTCTCTCTCTTTCTCTCTCTGTGTGTGTGTGTATGGATGCCCCAGTCTTGCAGCACCATCTCTTGAAAAAGACTATTCTTACTGTGTCCAGAATTGGTTCCTTCCAGTGGGTTCTTGGTCTTGCTGACCTCAAGAATGAAGGCACGGACCCTCGCAGTGAGTGTTACAGTTCTTGAAGATGGTGTGTCCGGAGTTTGTTCCTCCAGAAGTTCAGATGTGTCTGGAGTTTCTTCCTTCTGGTGGGTCCATGGTCTTGCCGACTTCAGGAGCAAAGCCACAGACCTTTGCAGTGAGTGATACAGCTCTTAAAGGTGGCGCATCCGAAATTGTTCATTCCTCCTGGTGGGTTTGTGGCCTTGCTGGCTTCAGGAGTGAAGCTGCATCCGAAATTGTTCATTCCTCCTGGTGGGTTTGTGGCCTTGCTGGCTTCAGGAGTGAAGCTGCAGACCTTTGCGGTGAGTGTTACAGCTCATAGAGGTGGCGTGTCCTGAGTTGTTTGTTCCTCCCAGTGGGTTTGTGGTCTCGCTGGCCTCAGGAGTGAAGCTGTAGACCTTTGTGGTGGGTGTTGCAGCTCATTGTTATAGCTCGTAAAGGTGGCGTGTCCGGAGTTGTTCGTTCTTCCTGGTGGGTTCGTGGTCTCGCTGGCTTCAGGAGTGAAGCTGCATACCTTCACTGTGAGTGTTACAGCTCATAAAGATAGTGCGGACCCAAAGAGTGAGCAGCAGCAAGATTTATTGCGAACAGTGAAAGAACAAAGCTTCCACAGCATGGAAGGGGACCCGAAGGGGTTGCTGCTGCTGGCTCGGGTGGCCTGCTTTTATTCCCTTATTTGGCCCCACTCACATCCTGCAGATTGGTCCATTTACAGAGAGCTGATTGGTCCATTTTACAGAGTGCTGATTGGTCCGTTTTACAGAGTGCTGATTGGTCCGTTTTGCCAGAGTGTTGATTGGTGCATTTACAAACCTTTAGCTAGACACAGAGCGCTGATTGGTGCATTTACAATCCTTTAGCTACACAGAAAAGTTCTCCAAGTCCCCTACCCGATTAGCTAGACACAGAGTGCTGATTGGTGCGTTTACAAACTGTTAGCTAGACACAGACTCTGATTGGTGCATTTACAATCCTTTAGCTAGATAGAAAAGTTCTCCAAGTCCCCACCTGACCCGGAAGTCCAGCCGGCTTCACCTCTCATTACTATCTTTTCTTCATTAAATTTCTTTGGCTTGCCTTGTTAAAAATCAGTTGAGTATGTTTGTGTGGTTTGCTTTGTGGACTCTATTTTGTTCCATTGTTCTGTGCGTCTGTTTGGCTAAAACCTCAGTCCTTATTATGGTAGCGTTATAGTGTATCTTGAAGTCAAAAAGCCTGAGTCCTCCAACTTTGTTGTTGTTTGCCAAAAATTTTTGAGTATTCGAGTTCTTTTTCTTTCCATGTACATTTTAGAATCTCTTTATTTCTATATAAAAGCATTGTGGAATTTTTAGTATGATTGCATTGAAGTTATGGATCCATTTGGGGAGAATTGACATCTTAAAAATGTTGTTTTCTAATCCATTAATAAAATACCTTTCCTGTCCCACTGCTATGGCTCATGCTTGTAATCCCAGCACTTTGGGAGGTCAAGGTGGGAGGATCGCTTGAGCCCAGGAGTTCAAGAGCAGCTTGGACAACATGGCAAAACCGCATCTCTACAAAAATGAGAAAAATTAGCTGGGTGTGTTGCCATGCACCTGTAGTCCCTGATACTTGGAAGGCTGAGGTGGGAGGATTGATTGAGCCTGGGAGGTAGAGGCTGCAGTGAGTTGTGATCATGCCACTGCACTCTAGCCTCTGCAACAGAGAGAGCCTCTTTCAAGAGAGAAAACAAAATGAAACAACCTTTCTACGTTTATTTGGTCTTTGATTTCTCTCTGTTTTTAAGCTTTCCGCATAAAAATGTTGCGCATATTTTGTTATGTTTGTATCTAAATGTTTTATGTTGTTTGGTTCTGTTGTAAACAGTAACCTTTAAAAATTTTTAAATTTCCAATTACTTATGTAAGTGAATCAGTATTTTAATATTGATCTTGAATTTTTGAATTTTACAACCTTGTTAAACTCACGAGTTCGTTCTAGTAGCTTTTGTAGCTACTGCTGTCTGCTGGTAGAGACAGCTTTATTTCACATTTTCTCATTTGTTTGCCTTTTATTTTGTTTTCTTGTCTCTTTGCACTGGCTAGGACCTTTGCTAATGTTAACTAGAACAAGTCAGATCAGCACAGATATCCTTGCATTGCTCTTCATCTTAGTAGAGAAGGTATACAGTCTTTTACCATTGAGTAGTTAGCTGTAAGTTTTTTGTGGATATCATTTTGACCCAGCCAAGGAAGTTCTCTTTAACTCCTGCTTAGAGCTTTAAAATTTAATCACAAGTGAATGTTATATTGCTTTTTTTGATTGTGAACATGATAGTTGATTACAGTAGAAAGTTGGAAATAAAGGAAGACTATAAAAAAAGTTACCCTATTTTCAGTAATCTGAGGTAACTGCTGCAAACATTGTGGTGGCTTTTCTTTCAGTCTTTTCTTTTGCAAATATATTTTAAAAACAAAATTGTTAATATTGTTTTATATTTTGCCCTTTTCACTCAGAATCACATTGGGAGTACTTGCATCATGAATTATTTTGAAAACTTGATTTGTAATGGTTATGGGTTATTGTGTTATATGGATATGCCCATCATTTAATGATTTTCTTATTGTTAAATAGTAAAATTGTATTTCAGTTTTCCCTGTTGAAATTAACATTAAATATTTGTGCTTAACTCTGATAATTTTTCAAAGTAATTTATAAAAATATGATTATCACTCAAAGTATATACATTTTTTTTTCAGGTTCTTATATCCACTGCCTCTGTTTGGTGCTCTTGAAATTTGTTCTTTAGGCTATTTATTGTAAGAAATTTGGGGTCAGTATCATTGGCTTTTTGGGCATCACCTTAAGGTAGAATCTTTGAATTTCAGAAACAGAGTTCCTTAGAAATCGGTCTAGTTCAAACCGTTTTTTAAGCGGTTTAGAGTCTGTAATCATTAAATAACTTTTCTGCCTATACTATTTTGTTTCCACTGATCTATACAGAATTACTGATGAATTACGTATAATGTAATATACCACCTGTGCTCTTCTTTTGATAAGAATTATAGAAATCTTTGTGCCTAGCTTCATGTAAAACCCTTTATGTATGTTGTTTTATTGAATTCCAACTGCTACTTTTTGGTAGTAACATTTTTTTCCATTTCATAGACAAAGGAAACTGTCTCCAAGTGAGCAAACTTACCTAAGGTTGTATTAATAGTAAGTGGTAGAGCTTGAGTTTGTTCACAAGTCTTCCTGAATCTGTGCTTTTATTTGTAGGCTATACTATGAGTATTATGTTATTTTAGGTATTTTGTATATATTATGTTTATTTTGAATATATTAATTTTAATGCTAACAATAAATTTACTAAGCAGATTAGCAAATTAGCATGAGATGTTATCAGTACTTCTGAAATGTTTGTCCAAATTTATATCCTCTTAAGTCTATTCTTATTTTCTAAGTGGCGTAAAGATTATTGTTGGCTATATGCCATACAATTTTACTTAAATAATTAGGATCATATTTACTGTGACTAGTAGAGGATACAACAATTTATTTATTTTGAAATGTGAAGAATTTTGTAATTATAGGTTTAATAAATGGAGATAAAAAATAATGTTAATTACTTTATAAAATGAGCTCTGTTATAATTCTGGTAAAACAATTTGTTTTCCTTAGAAGGATATGTACATTTTGGTATTTACATTTCAACATGGACTATGTGAATGAAATAATTAGTTTGTGAAGTATGAAATCACTTTTTCCTTGTATTCAGAGAAGGTTGGCTTTTCTGTGTCTACCACCTCCTATGTTTTTTATTATATTCAGCCCTGTGGTTAAAGAGTAGGTCTACATAGTCATTTTAAAAAGCTGCTTACATTTTATATTATGAGAATTCAGAACTTCTGCAATTGTAGTAAAGACAGTGCTGCAGTGTTATGCAAGATCCATTAATCTATGAATATGCTTCACTGACAGATGGGCTTATATGAATATTATTTAAAAACTACATGCTTAGACATCAGTAAAAGATAGTGATTAAAGATGAGATTAAGTATCATTTTAATTACGAATTTTATACAGACAACTTAAAATTAGGTTAGACCTTTTGCTTAGTTTGCCAAAATTGGGCATGAAAAACAAAATAAGCCTGTGAAAGCTGAATGACATTAAATGGGCCACCCTGAATCAGAAGACAAGTGGCAATGAATACCTATTTTCCATTTTGCTGAATGAGAAGAATGTTTAATAAATGGTGATAGTTTTCATGAGATATTTAGATATTTTAAGTTTTATCTCTTGTTGGTTATGCAGAAGAGATTTATTTCTCTTTTTATTCAGTCTAGCAATTTCTGACTTATGAGTGGAGTGTTGAATCCATTTACAATTAATGTATTTACTAATGCTTAAGGTAGTATTTATGTCTGTCATTTTGCTATTTTTTCTGTATATCAAGTAATTTTTTTCATTCCTTAATTACTACATTATTGCTTTCTCTGCCTTTTTTTGTATTAAGTATATATTTTCTAATGTACCATTTTAATTTCCTTGATGTTTCTCTTTTTTTTTTTTTAAGAGACAGAATCGCCTAAGCTGAAGTGTAGTGGCGCCATCATAGCTCACTGCAGCCTCCAGCTCCTTGGCTCAAGTGATTCTCCTGCCTGAGCCTCCCTAGTAGCTAGGACTACAGGTGTGTGCCACGATGCTTGGATAATTTTTTTATTTTTTGTAGAGACAGGTTCTTACTCTGTTGCCTGAGCTGGTCTTGAACTCCTGGCCGCAAGTGATCCTCTTACCTTGGCCTTCCAAGTGCTGGGAATACAGTTGTGAGCCACTGCACCCGGCCTTGACGTTTCTTTTACTAAATATTTTTTGAGTTCTCAGTGGTTGCCCTGGGACTTACAAATAGTACCTTATTTTATAACAATCTATATTAATTAATACTAACTAAGTTTAAGTTTACAAATTTTGTTCCTATATATTCCCTCCCCTTCCTTCATGCTATTATTGTGTAAGTTACATCTTTCTACATTAATACAGTATCCATTAACACTGATTTATAATTCTTGATTTATGCAGCTGTCTTTTCAATCACATAGGAGAAAAGAGCCACAACCAAACATACATTTATATTTTCTTTTATATTTACCTATGTAGTTATCTTTACCAGTGTTCTTAATTTCTTTATGTAGATTCAAGTATACTGTCTCTTGTCCTTTCAGTTCAGCCTGAGAGACCCAGGTTAGTATTTCTCATAGATAAGATGTGCTAGCATACATTCTCTTTGGTTTTGTTTATCTGAGAAAGTCATAATTTCTTCATATTCAAAGAATAGTTTTGCTAGAATTAGAATTCTTAGTTGGCAGTCTTTTTCTTTTAGGAATTTGAATGTATCTTTCCACTGCCTCTGGCCTCCGTGGTTTTTAGTGAGAAATCAGATAGGAAATCTTTTTGACGATTCCCTATTTTTGATGAGTTGCTTCTCTCTTGTTGCTTTCAGTATTCTCTCTTTATGTTTCGAAAGTTTGGTTATGATGTGTTACAGTGTGGATCTCTTGAATTTTATCCTACTTTGAGTTTATTGAGCTTCTTAGATGTATAGATTAATGCTTTTCATCAAATTAGAGAAGTTTCCTTGTATCGTTTCTTCAAATATTCTTTCTGTTCCTTCCTTTTTCTCCTCTTTTTCTGGTTCTCTCATTATGCATATGTTGGTATGCTTGATGGTTTCCTATAGGTCTTTGATGCTCTGTTTATTTTTCTTCATTCTTTTTTCATTCTGTTCCTTAGCCTGGATAATCTCAATTGACCTATCTTCAAGTTCACTGATTTTTGTGCCAGCTCAAATGTGCAGTTGAACTCTTCTAGTGAATTTTTTTTTTTTTTTGAGTGGTAGCTTTTCTATGTTTCTTTTTATTTATTTATTTATTTATTTTTATTGATTATTCTTGGGTGTTTCTCGCAGAGGGGGATTTGGCAGGGTCATAGGACAATAGTGGAGGGAAGGTCAGCAGATAAACAAGTGAACAAAGGTCTCTGGTTTTCCTAGGCAGAGGACCCTGCGGCCTTCCGCAGTGTTTGTGTCCCTGGGTACTTGAGATTAGGGAGTGGTGATGACTCTTAACGAGCATGCTGCCTTCAAGCATCTGTTTAACAAAGCACATCTTGCACCGCCCTTAATCCATTTAACCCTGAGTGGACACAGCACATGATTCAGAGAGCACAGGGTTGGGGGTAAGGTCACAGATCAACAGGATAAGAATTTTTCTTAGTACAGAACAAAATGAAAAGTCTCCCATGTCTACCTCTTTCTACACAGACACAGCAACCATCCGATTTCTCAATCTTTTCCCCACCTTTCCCCCCTTTCTATTCCACAAAACCGCCATTGTCATCATGGCCTGTTCTCAATGAGCTGTTGGGTACACCTCCCAGACGGGGTGGTGGCCGGGCAGAGGGGCTCCTCACTTCCCAGTAGGGGCGGCTGGGCAGAGGCGCCCCTCACCTCCCAGACAGGGCGGCTGGCCGGGCGGGGGGCTGACCCCGCCACCTCCCTTCCGGACGGGGCGGCTGGCCGGGCAGGGGGCTGACCCCCCAACCTCCCTCCCGGACGGGGCGGCTGGCCGGGCGGGGGGCTGACCCCCCCACCTCCCTCCCGGATGGGGCGGCTGGCCGGGCAGAGGGGCTCCTCACTTCCCAGTAGAGGCGGCAGGGCAGAGGCGCCCCTCACCTCCCGGACGGGGCGGCTGGCCGGGCGGGGGGCTGACCCCCACCTCCCTCCCGGACGAGGTGGCTGCTGGGCGGAGACGCTCCTCACTTCCCAGACGGGGTGACTGCTGGGCGGAGGGGCTCCTCACTTCTCAGACGGGGCGGCTGCAGGGCGGAGGGGCTCCTCACTTCTCAGACGGGCGGTTGCCAGGCGGAGGGTCTCCTCACTTCTCAGACGGGGCGGCCGGGCAGAGACGCTCCTCACCTCCCAGACGGGGTCGCGGCCAGGTAGAGGAGCTCCTCACATCCCAGGCGGGGCAGCGGGGCAGAGGCTCTCCCCACATCTCAGACGATGGGCGGCCAGGCAGAGACGCTCCTCACTTCCTAGATGGGATGGCGACTGGGAAGAGGCGCTCGTCACTTCCTAGATGGGATGGCGGCCGGGCAGAGACGCTCCTCACTTTCCAGACTGGGCAGCCAGGCAGAGGGGCTCCTCACGTCCCAGGCGATGGGCGGCCAGGCAGAGACGCTCCTCACTTCCCAGACGGGGTGGCGGCCGGGCAGAGGCTGCAATCTGGGCACTTTGGGAGGCCAAGGCAGGCGGCTGGGAGGTGGAGGTTGTAGCGAGCCGAGATCATGCCACTGCACTCCAGCCTGGGCATCATTGAGCACTGAGTGAACCAGACTCCGTCTGCAATCCCGGCACCCCAGGAGGCCGAGGCTGGCGGATCACTCGCGGCTAGGAGCTGGAGACCAGCCCGGCCAACACAGCGAAACCCCGTCTCCACCAAAAAAATACAAAAACCAGTGAGGCGTGGCGTCGCGTGCCTGCAATAGCAGGCACTGGGCAGGCTGAGGCAGGAGAATCAGGCAGGGAGGTTGCAGTGAGCCGAGATGGCAGCAGTACAGTCCAGCTTCGGCTCGGCATCGGGAGAGGGAGAGGGAGAGGGAGAGGGTTTTCTATGTTTCTTCTCTAGTGAATTTTTGAATTAAATTATTATACTTTTTAATTCCACAATGTTTGTTTCTTTATTTTGTAATCTCTATCTCTTCATTAATAATCTCTATTTGGTGAGATATTGTTATCATACTTCATATATGGTTTTCTTTAGCTCTTTGAAACTGTATCTAAGAAAATATTTAGAGAAAACGTTTTAGTGTCTTTGTCTCATAAGTCCAATGTCTGGGCTTCCTTAGGGACAATTAACTGCCTTTTTTCTCTCCATGTATAGATCATCCTTTCTTGTCTCTTGCATGTCTCACAATTTTTTGTTGAAAATTAGATAATTAAATAATATCTAATGTGGTAACTCTGGAAATCAGATTCTCCTTCTCAGGGTTTCTTCTTGTTGCTGCTCTTGTTATTTGTTTGCATAGTGACTTTCCTGAACTCTTTATGTAAACTTTGTATTCTTTTATGTGTGGCCACCAAAGTCTCTGCATGGTTAGTACTGGACAGCGAATGATTGGACAGTTATTTCCCTAATGCTTGGAAGCAATGAGTCTCCCAGCCTTTGCTGGTGGTCTCTGTGTGCATGATGGGGCATGCCTTCAATGCTTAGACAGGCAGTTTATAACTCTACTTTAGCTTTTAGTTCCCACTTGTACAGAGCTTAAAGTGTAGCAAGAAGTCAAAGCTTAGGTCACCTTTTCAATTCTTTACTGAGTACTTGCATGAGCTTGGCCATCTGGAGTTCAAGGAATATGTTGGATCTTATCAAAATCCCCTATTGACATTTCATTACCTAGCTTTTCCTTTTAAGATTCTGGTCAGCTTGTTGTTTGCCCCAACTGTTACTGCCACCTCAGGCAAGCTGATGTTAAACAGTTGGCTCTGTTTGTTTTTGACAAATGCTATCTGGGGAAAAGGTTATTGGCACTGGACAAGCTCTTAGGTCAAATAAAGACAAGTAAAGGAGTGGTGTTTTCCAGGGAACTGCCAGACAGGTCAATAATGACAATTTCTGGGAATGGGGTTTTGGAGGAGGTCCAACCCTATTTTGCCCCTCCTGGTGGCTGCTAGGCTGCTGGATTTTATTGTGATTTTTGAGCCTTCTAGTTTTCAAGGCTCTCATGGTACTGGGGATAGAGGGATGAGATTAAAATGCCATAAAACTTGCTTTTCTTAATGAAAATCAGCCATTTTTCTGTAATATGTTCTTCCTAGATTGATGCAAGCCTTTGATTAATTTCTAGAGTTCTGAAAAAAGTTGACTTTGACAATTTTTGCCACTGTTGTTCTTGCTTTATGGAGGAAAGGATTTTTGGAGTTCCTTAACTCCACTATTCCTGCTGATGTCACTGTGTAGTATTTTAATAGCCCAAGTTCTTCTTAATGTCACCTTATCCCAATTATACTTATATTCCACCACTTTGCTTCATGTTTATCATCTGTGGTATACAGCTGCATATAAGAGATCATTTAGGGATTATTCTAATTCAGATATGTAAAAATTTCCCATATGTAGCAAACCATTTAACAATATTAGGCATCTGCTTAGTGCTGTGAAAATTCTGCAGGATGAAAATTACAATCTGTTCCTAAATTTAGGGAGGTGTCTGCAGTATAGTTAGGAATTTATACATGTAGAAAAAGTTGAATTGTTGATTATATGAGTGAAAGAGATCTGATAAGGTAGAACGTAAGCTACTTTTATTAATAATAAGTAGTATGGTGCAGACATAGAACATTATTAGCCATTATGTAATTTTGTTCTTAAATAATTTGAGTCAGTTTTGAATAGAGGAAATCTTCAGTTTAGGCTTGTGAATTATGGCTAAAAATTCAATTGAATTGCCAAAATGATTATACTGAATATTATTAAACACTGTGTGCTATGCCTGAACATATTACTTGGAGAAATTAGATTTTCTGGTTAATGGAATTTCCTAGTTAAAAAAAACAACCAGAAGCCCAGTTTTTCCTTGATTTTGTGAAAATGTCTAGACATGTATTTGTGGGTTTTGATGCCTTAATTATTGAAGGTAAATGATCTCTCCCTCTGTCCCTTTTTAAAGCATTTAACTGAATGCTTATCAAGCTATGGTACCTGGCAGTCATAATTGAGAATATTATTTTCCAGTGCTGTAGAAGAGAGTCACATGATTGGTGCCCTCAAAAAATTGGTAAGAACATGGGGTTAAAATGTAGCTGTATTGCATCTTCGGGTTCTTACGATATGAATATATGTGAGTTTTTGTGTTTTATTTAATTTATATCACTTTTCTGCATGAGGAAGACATTAATGGTTTGCAGATGTTGTAAATGATTACTAGAGATGCTTTTTCATGCTCATATTAGCCAGTCCCTGATATGCATTTATTTTGATTATTAATTTTCTGATTAAAAATAAAATGATGCATACTGGCATTTTTTGGGGAAGTAATGCTATGATATATTTCATCATTCAGAATGCAAAATTAGCAATTCCTAGTGTAAGCAATTTCAAATTTTCACACTCATCATGAATTTAAGGATGCAAAGGACCTGCTTTATATTCCTGCATTTTTTTGTGAGGGAAAGTCATGTTAGGTATTTCTAAGATGTATTTTTCTCTTCTCTTTACTCTCCTTATTACATTTGAATCATGTGTAGTTTTAAGCTAGGTATTTATTTACTTATTTGTTACCAGACAGGTGTCTCATGTTTGGGTGGTATATATTGCTGCCAAAGGCTCACCACAGAGTTGCTCAAGGTGAAGAGAGTGGGTTTCTAGAAGTACAGCTAATTCTTCTGTAGCGTCTAGTTAGTGTAAAATATAAAAAATCAACCAAATACATTTATACACAATTAAAGGAATACTTATACGCAATTATAGGAATTTAGTAAATAAAACTTTTTAGTATCATTGCTACCATGCATAATTAACATTTTTAAGATTTATTACGTATTTACTCAGTAGAGGAACAGAATCAGTTGACATTTCTTTAGGACCCTGACATTATGGCATATGAAGAATGTTGGGAGTGCCTAGATTGCCTGTTGGAAAGCCTTGGATTTTTAGTTAATGACTCGGCTAGTCTTCATAATGGTGAAGAGGAAAACTCTTTCAGATATTGCTCATAGGATGTCAGTTTTGTCAGGAATATGCTCAATTATAGAGAGAAAGGAGAGTGAAGAGAGAAGGGAGAATGAAGAGGGAAAGGCGAATGAAGGTGTGCTTCAGACTTTTTTTTTTTAACATGCAAGTCTAATAGTTATATTGAGTGGATTAAAGTCTATATGAATTAGAAGTCATTTATAGATACTGGTACTCAATTACATATTAAGTACAGAGGTAAAAAAAAATGACAGGTTATTCATACTAAAGTCAGGATGAGATGAAAAATGTGCTGAGTATACCAGCACTTTTAATTCAAGGAAAAATGAAAATGAGTGGTTAAAACAAGTGTTAAAAGAAAAACTTCAGCCAAATTAAATTTAAAGGAGTTTAATTGAGCAATGAACAATTTGCAAGTTGGGCAGCTCCCAGAATTACAGCAAATTCAAAGAGACTGTATTGCAGCCACACGGTGGAAGAAGTTTTGTAGACAAAAAAGAAATGACATACAGCAATTGGAAGTGAGGTATAGAACATTTGGATTGGTTCCCTTATTTGAACACAGTTTAAACACTCAGCAGTGTATGAATGGTTGAAGTCTTTCTGCTGGAATTGGCTAAGACTCAGCTATTGTTACAGACGCATACTCCTAAGTTAGGTTTTCAGTCTTGTCAACCTATTAAGTTAGGTTGCAGTTGGTCCACAAAGACTCAAATATACAAGTATAGAGTCCTTCTCAGGCCATATTTGGTTTGCTTTAGCAGTTCTCCCCTTTTGCTCATTTTCTCAATTTTTGAGAGATTGAGCACAACTTTAGTCATTAATGTCACAATCATTGTAGTAAATGTACTTATTTGGTCTTGAAACCCACCAGGAAACAGTAGAACAGTGAGTTTTGCAAAGGTAGGAACAAGAGTACCTCCTTATGCTGGAATGTCCTGTTTACAGGGGAAAAACAAACCAGGTCTGTTCTCCTGTAGGATCTATGTGTTTCCTTAAAGTCTTAGTTTGATTATGTCACATTCAGCATGAGCAACTCCAGTTTTGTTTGGTTTGGTCTGTTGGGGCCTAGTGAGTGAGCTCAGTCTAAAACAATGGCCACCCATAATTTTGTTTAAAAAAATTCCACCTTTTTGGTCAGGTTCTCAGGTGAGAGTGTGACCAAAACTTAGGGCCTTAGCACCACTCTCTGTTAACATCATTTGGGTTTCCAGTCTCAGCATGTCATTCATAGGTTACAGTATCCTCATGGTCACACATTTCTTTCAGCTCTTGTCATTCCACTTGAAGAGAGACCGTTAGATATTCTAGAGATGGCTGCATGCAAACATTTAAAACCTTTGAGAGAATACAGTGCACTAGGGAGACTATTATTATGACTACGGGAGGATAATACCAAGGGTTTGGAGTATGCTCCTTACCTAGGGTCCCCATAAACCAAACCTCCTAAACTCAAATAGATCAGAGAATGAGCTAGATAAAGAGTCTACTCACTTAACTAAGTAGTTTTTTCATTAATCCCCTGCAACTGAGTTTCTATAATACCTGATGTTTTCTCTATAGGTCGTAAGTGCCAGTGGCTGCAGGTACTTCTGTGTTTAGCCACTTAATACTATTTAGCATGACTTTTACAAGAGAATTTAAAGTCTGTTGTGTAACCCTAGCCTTTACAGTATATAAAGCCTATCATGCTATAGAGCCTATCATGAGGGATACATTTCTAATCATTGCCTCTTTTATTCCAAACCGTGGAAAAAGGACCTAACAAATGATGCCCTTCCAGGGAAGTGAAGGCCTCCAGGCAATGTTTTCTTTAACCTAGGTTGTGGGTTAAGAGGAGTGAATCAATGTTCTGTTTCTGACTGATTATGAGGCAAAGTTTCTCACTCACATTGGGCCTTCATCTTTTATCTCTCAAAGTGTAAGATTATCCATGTATAAGGCTGGCTGCAAAATTCTTCACAAATGAAAGTATATCCTGTAAGTGCATACAACAGACCTTTTTTCCACTTCTATTGTTCATAGAGACATAAGCAAGGAAGAAAATATTCAAAGATAAGAGTCTAATGATAGTAGAGAAATCTTAATCTGTGATCTTGGGAAAAGCTGTTCACATCAAGGATGCTGTCTTCTTCTGGGGAGAAACTTCTCTGGTTAGCTTTACCTTAAGGATTTCAATGGGTGTACAGTTCCAAGAGTGTGGAGGGACCCTTCTCAGTTGTGAGATTATGAACCCAAGGTTCAAGGTTCCAAAGTTTTGTTGCAGAATGGATGGCAAGGGCAGTCTTTCTCTGATGTTCTCAGAAGATCCAGTCTTTGGATTCTGAAGGGGTTAATTGTCCTCAAAACCATAAAAAGCTTTATTGACCTGATGAAAATACACTGGGCACAATAATTTCGTGTTATAAGATCAGTCCTCTTGCATGGGAAAGTTTGTATACAACCAGAAAACATGCATTGAAAATGACAAATGAAATCCCTTTATAAATGTTTAAATGGCCCATCAGGTAGGCAAATGTACCTGAAGCTTTGATTGTCTTCTGAAGAATATGGAATGGAACATTGGTTATAAACTATTTTCACAATTTATAAGTCACCACATCAATATATTTAATTTGGATCATTTTATCTTTTCCGTGATGAGTCATGGAATGCAGAACTTTTAATAATAAAAGGTTTAAGGACTCAATAAGGACAAGGCAGCTGTTCTGGTTTTTCATGAGTCCATGCTTAACATTGGACTTGATTCTCCAAATTAGGTGCATAGCACTGATAACTGATAGGTTATCATAGGTAATTTGACTTAGACCATGGATTTTATTCAAATTGTGTATCTAAATAATTTCAGTATTTGCTCATTTAGCATGAAAATCTGGCAAAGTATTTCCTTGGTATTTAATTAATTTTTGTTCTACTTGGATTAGCAGTTTTATAACCCAGTCAGTCTTTTCATTAAAGTTCCAGGAATTCTTACCCAGTTCAAATGACATGATTCTAAAGCTATTAGAAACCTGTATTCAAGAGTACTTTTCAGGGTCCTCTCCATCTTTCATGAACCTCCTGAAAGACGCCATGCTTTTGAAATTTTGAGAAACTGCATCAGCATTAAGCAATTAACTGTGGAAATGACTTTAAATAGTTATAATTAAAAACACAATTGACAAAGAAATTTGGTTATTTCTGTGGTCTACAATAACTTAACATAACTTTAATTATGATTGATAGCATATACTCAGACATAATAGAATTTTAGAAGTCCCATACAATTTTGGAACATATATTAATATAATTCACTAAAGTATAACTTGGAGACTAAACATTATTTTTATTTTGATAAAGTTTCCCATGTAACTTAACATGCCAAATAATCCTGTTTACCTGTCTCTTAAATGCTTCAGGGGCCCTCTGGAGCATTCCAAAGTTGGATGTCAGAAAAGACCATTTTAAAGGTGAAATTTGATTTTGAGAAGCCTATCAAATATTTTAAAGGTTTAAAATACTTGATATTATGAAATAGAATCCAGGTTACTGTAAGTCATTCATTTAGCCAAAATGATGATTTAAAAAATTTTTAAAAAGGTAAAAATCTTTACTCATTGATAGAGGGAAGACTTAACTTTTGTCTCTTGTCTTTCCCTTCCTTTTTGGTAGTTTATTCAAAAGGCAAAGAAAATCTTTCATTATTTTATTTTATTTTATTTTTTGAGATGGAGTCTTGCTCTGTCACCCAGGCTGGAGTGCAGTGGCATGATCTTGGCTCACTGCAAGCTCTGCCTCCCGGGTTCACGCCATTCTCCTGCTTCAGCCTCCTGAGTAGCTGGGACTACAGGTGCCTGCCACCATGCCCGGCTAATTTTTTTTTTTTGTATTTTTAGTAGAGATGAGGTTTCACCATGTTAGCCAGGATGGTCTTGATCTCCTGACCTCATGATCTGCCTGCCTCAGCCTCCCAAAGTGCTGGGATTACAGGCGTGAGCCACCATACCTGGCCCATTATCTTTTAATAGTTCATGAAAATATTGTTCAAGAGAGAAAGCCAAATTTCACCCTTGCATTAGTCTACTATTAATGTCAATCCCAATTTTTAATAAACCTTATAAACAAATCAATTCAATCTTGGTTTGACCATAAGGTGAGATTCTCATAAACCTTTTATAACCTTTTACAATTTTTGTGAAAGAGAAGGTTAGTGCTTTAAGAAAAACCCTGTTGTGCTTTTATTCCCATTTTCAATTTATGGAAAAGCTGAAAAATACCACTTTAAATTTGGCCAATGTGTTCACACACAGAATTTCTTTAATAACGTTAATTATTTATTATTTCTTCTTCTTCTTCTTCTTATTTTTTTGAGACAGAGTTTCACTCTTTCGCCCGTGGTGTGATCTCGGCTCACTGCAACCTCGGCCCCTGGGTTCAAGTGATTCTCCTGCCTCAGCCCTCCGAGTAGCTGGGATTACAGGTGCCCGCCACCAGGCCTGGCTCATTTTTGTATTTTTAGTAGAGACAGGGTTTCGTCATGTTGACCAGGCTGGTCTTGATCTCCTGACCTCAAGTGATCCACCTGCCTCAGCCTCCCAAAGTGCTAGGATTATAGATGTGAGTTGCTACACCCAGCTCAAGATTTTTTATAACACTTTCACAACTTGTTTAAAACTTTAGCTTTATCTAATTTTAAACAATCCTTTAACCCTTTAAACTTTGCAAAAATTTACATCCCATGCTTTCTTATAATCTTTTACCAAAACACATTTCATTCTCCTCATACTTTGCATGTAAACCTATTTTTTTCAGTAGTCTCAATTATATGTTAAAATGGTAATTCTTAGCAACTTTCACTTTTGGTGCATAAATTTCTTTTCATTAATCCTTTCATAACTTCCGTAGACCATCTACAACATGCTTGTACTTTCTGACTTGTCCTAAACATCCTTCTTTTTAAACAACCAGTCATTTTTTACTTTAGGACAATAATTTACCATACAAGATCCTTTCTTATATAAAATCTCTTTTCTTTATAACCCTCTTTGCATAGCTAGGGAACTTGGCTAATTCCATATGTCCCCAGGGCTTTAAAGTCAAGGCAGTGTATGACCTTAAAGCATTTAACAAACCTAGTATCTGACCTGAATAATTTAGATCGTATATCTTTATTTTTGCCAAAAATCTTTAAAATGTTTTATTTCCCAAAGATTACTAAATTCACTTGAACTAAAAGGCATTACAGTTTTTATTTTTCTTTCAAAATATTTAAGTGCCTATTTTTCTTTAAACCAATTAATTAGAGCTCTTTTATATAAACATTACACACACAACACATATATAACTGCACAGACAGAAGATTATTACAGTTGTTGTAAGTTTCTATTTACCAGTTTCTAAGTTTTTAAATTGGATTACTGGCTATAGGATGAAGTCTTTGGAAGAACAGGGCCAGGAAAGGGTCTCTGGTGCCTCCTGTTTTTCCCAAGGAGTCCCAGGCTGTTAGAGCTTGAATATCTGCTTTTAATTAAGCTGACTTTTAAGCATAGGACTCTTTAATAAAAGTTCTTATAAATTTTTTATTACCTGACTTTAGCCAGGACAAACAGCTGATATTTTTGTGTTTAAAGATAGAAAAATTGAAGATGATTTGTGGAGGGTAAGATAATTAAAAAATGGTAAAGGACACCCAAATATCAAGCAGAAAGTACTCATTGCCTAAGCTGGGAATTGCACCCTGAGCCAGCAGCCATTGTGATGGCAGAGACTGAGACAGTATTGCCAAATAGTTACAAAGTCAAGCTTCCAGGGACATACAAAACAAGACGGAGTCTCATTTATTATTATTTTTTTCTTTTTCTTCTTTCAGGTATCTGCAGCAAAGGTTATTACTGACCAGTTTGCTGGGCCATCTTGAACAGCGAGGCTTCCAGGGTTTTAGGCACGTATTTTGTCCTAAGGTACCCCTCTTTATGACAGAACAATACAGAAAGACTAAGCACACTAGATTCACTACAGCTTAAGACCAGCCTCAGAATTCTTTTTTGTGTTAATTAAAACTTCACAGAGGAGATAAACAGTGATTTTTACCATTCATTTAACCAGTTTGAACAGAGAAAAAGAGGCCAGAAATCTGAGTGGTAAGAAATTCTTACCCCTTTGCCAACATGCCAAGCCTCTGGGTTTCCTTTCCCTGAGTGGCCCTAGTGACCTGGCTCACCGCACCATAACCCTGAGGCCCAAGCCACAACACAAAGGAAAATTATCTTTTTCCATTCTGGCCAGTGCAAAATACGTGTGACAAAACATAGACATTAGCGAGTCTGCCTAGCACCCAATATCAGACTGGCAGGTTTCAAAATTGCCCCCAGATGGGCCCCATCATCCCTAAATCTTTTTTAGAAGCTTCTGCATATTAATAGGCATCCCTAGATGAGATTAATTTGGGAAACTTCATTTTTAAATGCACTTCTGTAGATTGTTGTTCACTTGGAATGTTTTACTGTAAGTTATGTTTAGTAAGATTTTGTCATTTCTGTAAGAGTTCGTTGCCTCTTGGGTCTAATGTGTAAGCTGGAAGGAACTCAGTTTTCTAGAAATTAAGGATCCCATTTTTTACCTAAAATGTTGGCTTTACTCTCAGGTTCTCTTGATTAACTTAGCCAGTTCTTTTTTTTTTTTCTTACCTAAGCACACCAGAAAAATGAAACAAAGGGGTAGAATGTAAAAATCCCTGTGTGAATTTTCAAATGCCAAATTTTATAACCCCTACAATATTACAGTTTGCTACCAGTTTCTTTGTGACCCAGTCAGATGTAAGAGGCCTCTAACTGGTCCCTAGCCAGTTAATTTCTGGATCAAATCCATTCCTGGACCCAGTCCAGTTTCTGTCATGACTTCCAAACCCAGTTTGGATTAGAAATTTGGTCAAAGAAACTCAGAGAGCTCAAAACACAAATCCATGGAGTTCTGAAATCCAAGAGAGAACTTACCGCAATCCCCAGCCACTGTGAGATCAGTGGACACAAATGGGTCCTGCAGGTACCTTGCTTGTTCACTCAGTGCTCCTGGGGGTCGTTAGAAGCTCTGCTTTGGATCCCGCTTCTGACACTATCTGTTAAAAGTGAAGCTTCAGCCATATTAAATTTAAAGGAGTTTAATTGGGCAATGAACGATTTGTGAATTGGGTAGCCCCCAGAATCACAGCAGATTCAAAGAGACTCCAGTGTGGTGGCCACATGGTGGAAGATTTATAGACAAAAAAAGGAAATGAAGTACAGAAATGGGAAGTGAGGTACAGAACAGCTTGATTGTTTACAGGTTGGTGTTTGCCTTATTTGAACACAGTTTGAATGCTCAGCAGTGTATGAATCATTGAAATATGGCCACTGGGATTGGCCAAGACTCAGCTCTTTTACAGGCGCATACCCCTAAGTTAGGTTTTCAGTCTTGTCAACCTATTAAGATAGGTGCAGTTCATCCACAAGGACTCAGATATAGAAGTATGGAATCCCTCTCAGGCCATATTTAGTTTTCTTTAACACAAGTTTTCTATCATCTTGGGAAAATGTGAGCAAACTAGTTATTTATGTGTTTCCCTTGGTGAACAAGTCCGTTTTTTATTAATGAGGCACTACTAGCAGACCTTTGATTGATGCATAAGCAAAGATTTACTAACTGCCAAAACTGAGTCTATGAAAGTTAAATAATGGAGAACTGAGGTATGTTGAGAAGCAAAATTCAGTTTAATAGAAATCTTTATTTGAGTCCTGACTATATTTCAAGTACCTGTACTAGGCATTGGGGGATACAGGAGTAAGTGCCACTCTGGGTCTTCAAAGACCTCACAGTCAATTATTTAAGAGTTTTAATAAACAAATAAGTTATAGTGAGTTTATTGATTGGGAAGGAATGGGATCTTGAAAATTGGAATGGGGATGCATGGAAAGACCCTGATGAAGCTGGGGACTTTGAATCCCTAAATTCTGATGAGTCTTCTTTGCCAGTTGAAGAGACCCCCACACACCTAGTGGGAATGGCCTCTTTACCCACCTCCCCTCTGCCCCTCCTTTCCCCCCAGGGGAATTAATTCTGCATTGCCCAAGCAAACTGTAATGGCTTTCCCTGAGGAAGTTGGCATGCAAGACAATTCTCAAGACCTCTCCCCACCGACTCCTCTTTGTTTCTAGACCTATAACTACACTCAAGTCTTAGTAGGCCCCTAAAGATGAGGCACAAAGTGTGACCCATGAAGACATGTACTACACTCTGAAATAAATGCTTAAGTTTTCTATTTATACAGACAAAAGTCCAGAGAACATGTGTGATCATGCATATTAAGGGTATAGGATAATGTCAGAAGGAACATAAAGCTGGATCAGACCAAATCTATTGATATGGGCTCACTAAGCAGAGATTCTGCAGCTTGGGGAATTATAAAAGGCTCTAACATTTTGTTTTCTTAGTTTGCTCCCATCATGAAAGGGACAGTGTTTTGTTCTTATTCCTGCTGGAGTAGACATTGAATATAGATTTCCTTTCCCTGCATGCATTGCTTCTGCCAAAACTACCAGACATGGATTTAAAGAATACCTTATCTACTATCATGGTATTAATATTACACACAGCATTATTTCTGATCAAAGAACTCACCTCACAGCAAAAGAAATGTGGCAGTGGGCCCATGTTCATGGAATTGACTGGTCTTAAGATGGTCTCTACTGTAGTGAAACAGCTGACTTGATAGAATGGTGGAATGGCTTTTTGAAGACTCAATTATGGTGCCAGCTTGGTGGCAGTGCCTTGAAAGGCTGGTGCAGGATTCTCCAGAAGGCTGTATATATGCTGGATCAGTTTCCAATATATGGTGCTCTTTCTTCCATTGCCAGGATTCATGGATCCAAGAATCAAGGGGTGGAAACAGGAGTGGCACCAGTCATTATTATCTCTAGTGACTTGCTAGCAAAATTTTTGCTTCCTGTTCCTGTGAACTTATGCTTTGATGACCTAGAGATCTTAGTTCCAGATGGTGGAATGCTTTTACCAGGAAATAAAACAGTGATTCAGTTGAAATGGAAGATTCTAGCCTGGTCACTTTGGACTCCTCATATCTCTGAATCAATAGGCAAAGAAGAGAGTTACTGTGCTGGCTTGACTGATTGATCTTAACTACCAATGAGAAATTAGATTGCTGTTCTATAATGGAGGTAGAGTATGTCTGGAATACAGGGTATCCCTTAGGATGTCTTGGTCAGTGGAAAACTGACCAACCCAACCCAACCCAAGCAGGAGTACTATGATCCAGATCCTTCAGGAATGAAAGTTAGGGTCACCCCACTGGGTAAACAGTCACAACCAGATGAGGTGATTGGTGAAGGCAAAGCAAATACAAAATAGGCAGTGGAAGAAGATAGTTATTAATACCAGCTATTAATACAGAAACAAGGCCTGTAATTGTCATGTGTATTTCCATCTTATTTTGTTATGTTTGTGTGTGTGTGTGTGTTTGTTTTCTGTCCTCTTTTATTCCCTTGTCATGTAATATAAGATAGTTCGACTATATATAATAGTATTTAAGTATTGTTTGCTTTACATCATAGTGTTTAAATTACAGGATATCAAGGGAAATAGAAATGTCATTCAAAATCTTTACTTCCTCTTCTTGGAAAGGGGCTAATACATTTCCAGTTGTAGTCAGGATAGTTGCATCACGTTAGGTGGAATTATGACCTTGTTATTTTCTTTATTTGGAGACTAAATATGATTTGAGGAGGTGCAGATGTGTGCCAAGTGGACTTGTGATGCTTAATTTTATGTGTCAACTTGACTAGGCCATGAGGTACTCACAGATTTGATTAAACATTATTCTAGGTATGTCTTTGAGAGTATTTTTGGATATTAACATTTGAATTGGTAGACTGAGTAAAGCATATTTTCCTCCTTAATATGGGTAGCCCTCATCCACTCAATTGAACATGTGAGTAGAATGAAACAGTTGTATAATAAGAAACTGCTACTTCTTGACTGCTTGAGCTGGAATGCCAGTCTTCTCTTGTACTTGGACTGTAACTTACACTATTGGCTTTTCTAGTTCTCAGGCCATTGGACTCAGACTAGAACTTACACCATCAGCTTTCCTTGTTGTCAGGCTTAACATTATTGATTCTCCTAGCTTTCCAGCTTGCTGACTGCATATCTTTGGACATCCTGGCTTCTATAATCTTGTGAGCCAATTTCTGAAATTAATGTTTCTCTCTTTATTTATATACACACATATACCTCCTCTTAGTTCTCTTTTTCTGGAGAACCCTGATTAATATGCTTACCAAAAAAGTAGAAAATTAGTTGATTATTTCCTCTTCCAGTATAACCAACAGTTTGTGGTTGGCATGATGTAATGTCAGATATGAAGCTAATAAAATTTTGAAATAATGTAGGATTATCTTACCACTGTATCTATTAAGAAGAGTGGCCTTTAGCTTACTTCATAATTTGCCTTTATTCTTTGTGGTATCCCAAAGGCAACTTAAGAAATAAATGACTAAATACTATGTAAAAGGAAGATGAAAAAAAGTGAAATGCTTAAAATGCCTAGTACAAGCAGAATTTATAGTAAATATTTTAGAAAGCCAGACATAGACAGAAGCAGTGGATGTACACTGTCAAGTATATGAACATTTAACAAAAGTGACACATACCTGCTGTGGCTTCAATATATTTGGTAATTCTCAGGAATTGATACATCTTTTTTAATTTTCACCACAATGCCATTTTAGATTATTGAAGATAGTCATTATGCCCGTTTTCCCTGTTGAGGGCTAAAATGTTAATCAGATATACTGGTTAAAGATTTAATATACTTAAAATGGAATCTTATGCTGAATAATGCTGCTTAAATTAAAAAGAGAGGAGAAACCCATCAATAGCAATACTTAGTAGTACTTAATCGTTGTTGTTTTGTTTTTTTAAGTAAAGAAGGAGTAATCATGAAGACTCTAGGATTTCCTCTTTGATCAAAAGCTTTTAGGAGAAAAGAATGATCCTTTGGATATTTTCAGCATTTAAAGCTGTCTAATTACCATACATTCTTTCCATTGTGATTGTGTAGCAATGCTGAGGTTTGGAATTATGCAGATCATTTAAGCTTTCTTTGTTGTTCATCAACTCTCACTAGAATCCTTTCTCTGTGTTTCTCACGTTGGATTATATAGCAAGCTTTTGTTGGTTCTTAGCTTTAGAAAATGTAGTCATTTTCTAAGCACAGCAAATATGTATTTCTCTTGCAATTCAGTTACTTTAACATGGTTTCAGTAAGTAAAATAAAATATATATAGTGCCTCAAAAATATCACAGAATTCAGTTATGCTACCGAGAAAGTTGTGCCATCTTTTTGGGAACTTATGTGTAATGAACTGGTGGACTTTGTCTACTCTCCCGGAGGAAGGTAATCATAATAATTGAATAAAACACCATTAATTGGTTTTGTATGTAGAGAAGTTGGGGTGTGTGTTTGTGAGTGTGTATAAACTGTAGCATTCTTTTTATATAGTTATATATTTTTTATTCATTCTTAAAATAAGGTAACAGGCAATCGTTGAGAGCAGTGTTCTTATAATTGCTCTCTTCATCTATGAAACTGAAATTTCTTGATGGCTTTAAGTGTGTTTGTTCAGGAGAGAAAATCGTTGTGAGGGAAGTAAATAGAATGTTACTTTCATGTTAAGGGATTCTTTGTTTTAGCCTTTTAGAATATAAACATCAGAGAATATCATAAGCATCAGGGAATCACTTGTAATGATGGTAAAGGAACCAACACTTCAGAGAATTGCACTTACACTTAAAGACCTGTCAGAGAATGTTTAAAATTAGAAACAACTTAAATGTGTATGAACTAGTATATGGATAAAGGAATTACAGTACATTCGTATAATACTACTCAGCAATAACAATGAACATTATTACTACTGCTTCCCTGTTACCCATAGTGTACACATCTTCCCTTATAATAAGGAAATTACGGCCCGAACTAATCTCTTAACATGCTACTAGGAAATATGCAAAAATGAGCAAGATGGTAGTATTGTGGTACTGACAACAGAGGTGCTAGAACAGATTAGAATACATAATTGAATATGTGTACGTGTAAACACACAGAATATATGTATATGTAAACACACATATTTGAAAATTTTAATTCATTATATCCTTTAAATATCCTGGGGTGGTAGTAGTTTGCAAATGAGCTAAGTTTAGTTGAACATATTTGAGTTATACGTAGCTTGTGGAAAAATTTTAGGAAATTTTCCGAAACAGCAATTTTGAACTGACTGCTCAAGCTTGTATTCATTTTTATAGGTAGACTTCAGATGTTTTCCCATGTATTTGAGAAGTTGAAGTCAGTAAGTGAATCAAAAGATATTAAGCATTTATTAATTATTTTTCTGTGCCACAAAGGGACAGAATTTTTAGAATTGCTGGAGAAAGGCAGAAGACAAGACTGTAAAGGTAAATATGAACCAAATTGTGAAAGGACTGTAGGATTTCATGGTAGGAATAGATTACCAACAGCAGAGTGGGAGAAGTAGGTAAGTATGGGCATGATGAAGGCGACCCTAGGCAGGCTAGGATAAAACTCTATGTAATCATTATTTTATGTAACTACCTGAAAAAAAAAATAAGGCTTTAGTTTGGATGCAGGGTGGTGGTATGCTCTTATTTTCAAATTAAAAGTAAGATACAGACTTTTACTAAGCAGAAAGATGATTATAATTTGGAAGAACCTGATAACTTTCACTATCCGTGGCAGCCTGGTTTACTGTAGAGAGCTTAAAAAATCTTGATGTAGGTGACATCCTTTTCTTACTTATCATCTAAGGTTGTCTTCCTGTTTACCTATTATAACTGTCCCCTCCTGTTCCAGTCTCATTCATTTTCTAGTTTGGTGACTCCTTGCTCTGTTCTCACTTCCTCCATCCTCCGTGTTTGATCCCTTTAGATATCCTTTTTTTAAGCTTACTTGCCTGAGACACTTTACATACACATTGCACATCTTTTTCCCCTAATATCTTACTCCTTTCCCCTTTTGATTTTGGTAGCTACTGTAGTTCTGCCTAAGAGATAATCTTTTTCTCTGGGCTTTCAAGGGAATGCGCATTCGACTGTTGGTCTACTGTGATCTTTCTACTCCCATTCCTGCTAGAGGAAGGGATTTAGCACTAGTGACAAGCATAGAGGCTGTGATAAAAGTCTCTAATAGAAAGCTCGTTTTCATTACTTCTTTCTGTATATCATAGTGATTTAAAAATCATTTTAAATTTAGGTGTATAAACAATTAAAATCACCAATAACTCCTCAAGCTGGAAGACAAAATTAAAAAAAAAAATCACCAATATTAAGTATGTAATTTGATGACTTTGACAAATATTTACATATGAGAAACCACTACCATATTATATGGAATATTTAATCACTGCAGAATGTTCCCTTGTGCCTCATAAGACTAGACCCCGTCCCACCACCTCTGGTCCCTGGCAACCACTGATTTGCTTTTGGTCACTGAAGTTTTGCCTTTTCAAGAATTTAATATAAAAGGAACATTGCAGATGTTTGTGTGTGTGTGTGTGTGTGTGTGTGTGTGTATGTATGTATGTGTGTGTGTACGTATTTGGTTTCTTTGACTTGGTGTAATGAAGATTCTTTCATATTGTTGCATATATAAATAGGTTTGTTCGTTGTAATTGCTGAGTAACATTGTATGGATGTACCATTATTCCTTTATCCATATACTAGTTGATACACATTTGAATTGTTTCTAGTTTTAAACATTCTCTGACAGGTCTTTATGTGGACATATGTTTTCTCTTAGGTCAATAGCTTGGAGTAGAATTCTTGGGTTGTGTGGCAAGTGTATGTTTAACATTATACACAATTGCCAAACTTTTCCAAAGTGGCTGTATCAGTTTACATTCTCACTAGGTTACATGAGAATTCTAGGTGCTCCATATTCTCACCAACACTTGATATTGTGAATCTTTTTAAGTAGCCATTTTAGTAGATTGTACTGGTACCTGCATTTCAGTTTTAATTTACATTTTTCTAATTTCTAATGATGTTGTACGTCTTTTCATGTGCTTAATTGAGATTATTAGATCTTTTATAAAGTGTCTATTAAAATATTTTACCAATAAAAAATTAGGTTATCTTATTATTTATATGTAAGCTTTCTTTTTATATTCTGGATATAAGACCTTTTCAGATAGGTTTGTCAAATATTTTAGTCCAATCTGTGGCTTGCCTTTTTATATATTCTCAACAGTATACATTTTTAATTTTAAAATTTGGCAAAATATACATAACAAAATTTACCAGTGTAACCATTTTTTTTTTTTTTTTTTTTTGAGATGGAGTCTCACTCTTTCACCCAGGCTGGAGTGCAGTGGCATGATCTGGGCTCACTGCAAGCTCTGCCTCCTGGGTTCATGCCATTCTTCTGCCTCAGCCTCCCAAGTAGCTGGGACTACAGGTGTCTGCCAGCACACCTGGCTAATTTTTTGTATTTTTTTAGTAGAGACGGGGTTTCACTGTGCTAGCCAGGATGGTCTTCATCTCCTGACCTCATGGTCCTCCTGCCTTGGCCTCCCAAAGTGCTGGGATTACAGGCGTGAGCCACTGCGCCCGGCCCCCATTGTAACCATTTTTAAGTGTACAGTTCATCAAAGCTTAGGAGATATGTATACATTTGAATATTATAGTATCTTGATTAATTTATCTGTCATTATGAAATTTCTCCCTTTAATATTCTAATTTGTATAATATGAATATAGACATTTCAACTTTCTTTTGATTGATGTTTGCATGGTGTATCTTTTCAACCCTTTAATTTTATCTCTTTTGTGTTTTCATAGTAAAAGTGGTTTTTTTGTATGTGGCATACAGTTGGGTCTTGCTTTATCATTCAGTCTGCAGTGTCTGCTTTTAAATTTAGTTGTTTAGACCACTTACACTTAATGCAATTATCATTACATGGTTGAGTTTAAATATATCATTTTACTATTTGTTTTCCTTTTTTTCCTTCTGCTTTTTTCCTTCTTTACTGATTTATATTGGGTTTGAGGATGCTTTTAATGATTTCATTTTAGACCGATTATGGACTTCCTAGGTGTATATCTTTGCTAATTAATTAATTAATTAATTAAATGCTGTAATGTCTACAATATACATCTTTAACGTATTAGTCCACTTATCAATATTTTTCCGTTTTATGTACAGTGTAAGAACTTCACAACAATATGCTTTTATTTCATCTCTCATTGTGGTATTGATATGCAATTTACTTCTACATATTCTATAAAGCCAACAATATGTTTTTTAAATTATTACTTTATATATTCAGTTATCTTTAAATTTTTAGATTTACCCACCTGTTTGCTATTTCTGGGACTCCTAATTTCTTTTGTGTAGATTCAGATTTCAATCTGTTTTTGTCTTTCTTCTCCCTGAAGAAATTTCCTCAATATTTCTTTTAGTACAGGTCTGGTGGCAAATAATTCTCTTACCCTTTGTTTATCTGAAAAAAAAAATTCCTCTTCAATTTTTAAAGGTATTTTCTCTGGGCAAAGAAGTCTATACTGCCATGTGTTTTTTCCTCTTTAAGTTGAAAGACATATCTCCATTATATTCTGTTTTACATGGTTCTGGCAATAAGCCTACTTTTATTCTTATTTTAGTTCTTTTGTATATAATGTGTTCTTTTTTTCTGGCCTAAATACAAATATTCTCTTGTATTAGTTTTCTGTAATTAGATTATGATGCGCATTAGTATGATTTCTTTATGTTTGTTCTTTCTCGCTATTCTTTAGCTTCTTGGGTCTCTGGTTTTATAGTGTTCATGAAATTCAGAAAATTTTCAGCCATACTTTTAAAATAATTTCTTCTGTATCTTCCCTTTTTGGGGGCCTCCAGTTACACATGTTTTAGACCACTTGAAATTATCCATTTTTTCTCAGTATTTTTTCCTCTCTGTACTTTATTTTGAATAGTTATACTATTGCTGTTTTTTTAACTTCATGATCTTCCACAGTGTTTAATATGCTGTTAATCTCATCTTTTATGTTTTTTGTTTCAAAGTTCTCCTCTGTAAGTTTCATTTGAAACTTTTTTATATCTTCCATGCCTCTCATCATCATGACCTTTTCTCTGCTTTCTTAAAAGTTATAAAGCATATTTATAATAGCTGCTTTTATGTCCGCTGATTCTCTCCATCTCTCTCATTTCTGTGTCTGTTTCTATCAAGTGATTTTTCTCCTGGTTATGCGTTATAGTTTTCTGATTCTTTATATGACTGTTATTTCTTTATTAGATCTCAGGCATTTTGAATTGTTTTTTGTTGATTGCTGAATTTTGTTGTTTTAAATAGTTTTGTATTTTGTTCTGACTCTTTGTTATGTCACTAGCAATCAGTTGGATTATTTTGAGGCTTACTTTTAAGATTTGTTAGCATGGCTCCAGAGCAGCCTTTTGTTTAGGTCTAATACAGCCCCACTACTAAGGAGATACCCTCCTGAGGATTCAGCTGAATGCTCCATATATTACTAGGTTTATCCACTCTGACTGATAGGAATACAAATTCTTGCCAGCTATGTGTGAACTCCAGATAATCTGTTCACTCACTTTTGTTGTTCTTTTCCTGTCCTTGGGTAATTTTCTCCCACGTTTATGTAGGTTAGAACTCAGTTTAAGACTTGAGAAGACCTTTCTTTCTCTGGAGCTCTATTTCTCAGATGCTTGGACTTGTAAATTTTAGCTGCTTTGTGAACTCTTAACTCTGCCCCTTTAGCTCAGTGAGAGGTCAGTTTTACTTGGCTTCCCCCACCATACTCTTTGGCCTGGAAACTGACTCCAGTTTGTAAGTTTGGGAGTTATAACTTTGTTTCGTTTCTTTTGGGAATCACAATTTTGTGCTGTTGTCCAGTACTTGAACATCATTATTTCATCTTGTACATCCTTTGTTCAGTTTTCTAGTTGCTTTTTCTCATCTATTGTTCATTTTTCTAGTTGCTTAGAAACTAGAGGTTAAATCTGGTCTCTGTGTTTCCACTTTGGTTGGAAGTTAAATGCTATCTGTATACTGTAATTCATATTTCCTTCCAACCTTTATCATAATTTTACTTTGAAGTAACCACAGTGTAGAACCACAGGGGTGGCGGTGGTGGTGGTGGTGCTGGTGCTGGTGAGATGTCTGTGAGTAAGCTATTGGTGATATGTAGGAAGTATATGTTTTAATTTTTCATTTACTCTGTTCATCTTTTATGATACTTTATAAAGTAAATCTTGTCACCCTGTCTATAAATCTTTGCATAAAATGTATACACTAGGGATATGTACTATATTTTTTGGTAGTTCCTATATTTTAGACTTCTCACTTCCTATTTTTACTAAGCCTTGAAAAACCAGGCATTTCTTACTTCTGTATCCATAATAAATCATGGTATTCAGCTGCTACTTAGAATACAGTTGTTTTACCATAGAATGAATTTTGGTGTACAAATTTTATGTTTGGTTAGTTAGAGATCCTCAGTATAGTTATAGAATTTCCCTTTTCGTTTTCTGAAATGGATCTAATTTGGTCATTTTTTAAATCTGTATTCTTTCTGAGTAGGTGACAATCCTAGGGCTTTTCATCCTTGGCATTATTATCCTTTTCGTTGTGTTGGAACTATATAAGATAGCTACAACTGCACTTGGGTGGCTCTTAGTACTTTGGTCTTTTTAGGATTTATATATGTGGTAACAAATACCACCAGTAATATCATCTCTAAAGGTTGAAGACTATAGATACATAGAATTTAAAATTGTTTCTTTTGTGAACTCATCTATTTTTCCATTCTTCTTATTTCTTCTGGAAATTATATGTGTTCTTTAAGGGTATGCAGGGTCTGACAAGGTGAGCTTCGCCAGCCTATCCAAGGGTGAAGTCAGCACCTTACATAAAACCAAAGTAGAGGGGGAAAAAACCTAGTCAATTTTAGTGGCAATATGGCAGGAAATTGAAAGTGTGATGAAGCCTGTGTTTGCACATAAAGGTGAACTTGCAGCTCTTGCATGTTTCTGGGTTTTATGGTGTTCTTATCTCTCGTAGGGACAATATAAGCCATGGTTAAAGATAATCCTTTACTTATTTACTTAAAGGAGTAGGTGGACAGTTGGTGATGCTGAGGGTCAAGGTAAACTTTCTGTTTTCTGTTAACATATCTAGTACCTGTCTGATATTTCCATATGTAAATGAGTTTCTTTGTCATCTTTGCATTATACTCTAGGCAATGCTACATGCTAGCCTGACTGTGGTTTCATTTGGCTTCCTTTTTCTGAGTCTCTATACCTGTTCAGTGTACTTAGCTTCTAGCGTTCTGGTGCAACTACCTGGCACTCATTTCTTGCTTTCTCCTTTTGACTGTCTCTTAAACAATATTGTCTCCTGTATATTTCTTCCTTTCTCTTTTGAAACTTACCTCAATATTTTATATCTGATGTAATATCTCACTAGGCTATTATTATGTAATTTGATAAATTGAGTAATTGTAATGTATTAGTGATGCTGCTACTGATGCAAAATCAGTTTTAGGAGGTGTTAACTTATACTATTGTAGCGTTAAGCACTTTTGAGTTAGATTTAATTTAATTCATTTTATCTTCAGAGCCAATTTTTAAGCTTTATCTAGAGTCTTACTGTGAGGAAAAGAAATGTCTTCTTAAAAGAAGTAGGCTTTTAAAACTGTAAGATTCTCCTTGGAGAAAATTATTTCTCTTGAAACTCAGGCCATTGGAGGTATGTTTGCAGTGTTTCCTTGGTAGTTCTAAATCAGGTATTTTCATGGATAGTCTGCTTGTCTCAGAAAGCCTAAAGCGGAGTCTTTTACTTGGGGAATGCTTAAGTGCTCCACAAATCAGTGACCAGAATCGTTTCATTTTGTGCCCATGTGGTTTCTGTGGGTGGTTGGTTGTTTTAAAAACTGTTTCAAAGAAGTACATTTTTTTTCCTGGCAATACATGTGTATCCTGTGTAAGTATTTTTCATTATTAATAATTTTGAGAAAAACCAACTCCAGGTCATAATGCAGTTGGCTTAAGTCATGGGGTTTTATCCAGAGTCATCCCATATGATTTTGGGTCTGCTTTACCAACAATTTATTAAGCTGAGGTTCCCAAAGGGCATGTTTCTACTGTCATCAACCTATTTTTGGAAATTATTTTTGTCCATTTTGTGTAAATCAATAGTTTTTAAGAGAAACTCATGAGACTTTTAGGCTTAATTTCTTCTAGGCTTATATACTGGTATAGGGGGGAGTATTTCCTCCCTTTTTCTTTCTCTCTGTATAGAAATTTCCATTTCTGTTTGTGACTTGTTTGTGATTCCAGCTTTTTCATTGTGCTTTGATTTTCATCTTCTTCCTCATTTAGGCTTAGTGGTTAGAAATCTTGTCTTTAATTGAATCTCAAAGTGGTTAAGTTTTTGTCATTTTGCGTTTTCCTGTCCAACAGGGAGGGTTTGCATCTGTAGGTACACTGAAATCTTTAATAATGAACTTGGGTTTAAAGAGAAATTGAATTAAATTCTTGAGTTATTTCAGAAGTTGTAACATCATGCTATTCACATTTCTGGCCACAGTGAAAGTTTTTGTGAAAGTGAAGTTTTGTAGGAAAAAGCTTAATGTGTCAACAGCCCATAGTCTTGGAGTGGATCTTTAGGAATTGGCTAGCGCAGAATTACAACGGTAAATAATCTGTGTAAATTTTCTAGCTAACAAGTGAATATTATTTTTAATTAGGAAATAACCAGGAATAAGACTTGAGAGATCATCTCTCCTAACTTACTTATTTAAGAAAGGAGGAAATTGGACCCTAGATATTAGGTGACCATCTTCAAAAATGGTGTAATTTAGTTGAAGAATTAGGACTAGAGCCCCATGCCCTGATGCCAAGTTTAGTGCTCTTTCCACTACCTTGGGATCTCTTCTCATCCTATTCCAACAAAATAAGAGTTTAAAGTGTAAGATACAAGATTCTGCTTTGAAAATATCCAAATACATTGTATTTTTGCAATATAAAATTGGAGTGATGAGAGAAAACTTATAAATTCTTGTGCCATTTTCCCCCTTGATCTGTGAAACAGTACTGATAGTATCTGAGGTTGTCATTTGGTTATTTTAGGAAGGAAATTGTATGGCCCTTATTTTGTTTGAATCTCTTCTTCATCATATTAAGGTAATTTTTAAAAGTTCTTGAGCTAGAAAAACATGCAAATAAGAACCTCCTGTATTGGCTGCTGTTGACTGCCTATTTAGCATTACCCCTTTTCCCACTACCCCCTTTTTTTTTTGAGACAGAGTTTCACTCTTTTTGCCCAGGCTGGAGTGCAGTGGCATGATCTCGGCTCACTGCAACCTCCGCCTCCTGGGTTCAAGTGATTCTCCAGCCTCAGCCTCCGGAGTAGAGTGGCTTGGATTACAGGCACCTGCTACTACACCTGGCTAATTTTTGTATTTTTAGTAGAGATGGGGTTTTGCCATGTTGGCCAGGCTGGTCTCGAACTCCTGACATCAGGTGATCCGGCCTTCCTTGGCCTCTCAAAGTGCAGGGATTACAGATGTGAACCACCACGCCCAGCCTCCCACTACCTTTCTAACAGATCCTTTGTTTTGTTTAGGCTTCTAACCCTCCTTTATGTGACTCAGAGAAAGGAGACCTCATTCCAAGTTCCAGGATTAATTCTGGTAAGTCTAAGTGAAACATAGTAATTCCTTTTCTTTGCTGGCAGCAGGTTTAAGGATGGGCAGATCACAATCTCAAAATATTTTTGTCATCTTGCTTCCAGCCTGTTGGTGAAGCTAAATATAGGAGGCCAGAGCCAAGGGAATTAGAATTTCTGAAGCTCTGACTTGCAGTATTTAAAGACTGCTCTACCTTGGGCCTTCTTGTTATGTGAGATACTAGTTATACATCTCCTTATTGATTTAACCAGTTTTATTTTGGAATTTTCTGTTACTTCCAGATGAAAGTATTCTGTCTCATGCATCTAATACTTTACTTGTGAATGAAGATTCATTATGAGGTAGGTTTTTGGCGATTAAATGGTTGTGACTGGAACAGGGAAGACTATTAATAGATTGGAAACTAGGAGAATCTTTTATGAGATTTTTAACTGGGTGAATAACAAAGTCGTGGTTCATATCCTTGTAGCTCCACCTCGTTTCTTTTCCCAGTGACGTCTTAAATTCTGTGGATTCTATTTGTTCCTTATCCTCTTTGACCTCTATGACATATGTTAGATCTGTCTATATCTTTCTGTATTTCTGGTCATACCTTTTAAATTTTATTTACTGACCTATTTTCCTCTGCTTATCTCTTGAATAGTAATGGTTTTCTGTGGTTTTATTCTTGGCCTACTTAGAAATATAAACATTATTATTTAGAACAGTTTTATCTTTATAGAAAATTATGACAATAATATAGAGAGTTCTCAGAAACCTCATACCTTTTATTAACATTTTACATTATTGTACATTTGTTTAAATGAATGGCCAATATTTATACATAATTATTAACTAAAGTCCATTCTGTATTAATATTCCCTTTATTTTTATCTACTGCCCTTTTTCTGTTCCAGGTTACTGTCTAGGTTATCATACATTTAGTGGTCATATCTCCTTAGGCTGCTCTTGGCTGTGACAGTTTCTTAAACTTTACTTGTTTTTGATGACCTTCACAGTTTTAAGGAGTATTGGTCAGACATTTCCTGGCTGTGGTGGTTTCTTAAACTTTACTTGGTTTTGATGACCTTGACAGTTTTGAGGAGTATTGGTCAGACATTTTGTAGGTTATTCCTCAGCTGAGATTGATATGATGTTTTTCCTCATGATTAGACTGGGGTTAGGGTTTTTAGGAGGAAGAGCATAGAGGTGAAGTGCCATTTTTATCACATTGTATCAAGGGTACTTACTATCAACTTATCATTGTTAAGCTGTGACTTATTGTGACTTATCATTGTTGATGTTTACTTTGATCATTTGGCTAAGGTGGTTTTTATTAGGCTTCTTCACTGGAAAGTTATTCTTTTTCTCTTATTCTGTATTGTACTCTTTGCAACAAAGTCACTATGTGCAGACCACACTTGATGGGGAGTTATTTTCCACCTTCTTGATAGTGAAGTAGCTACATAGATTTTTTTGGAATTCTTCTGCATGGATGATGACCATGGATATTTATTTTCTACTTGGCTTGGCCAGTTTTAAAATTGTTGATGTATGTTGGTGATTTCTAAATATGTTTATCCTAGCGATTCTTTCTACCTCTTTTTTTGAACTCTTTCTCTTTCTAGTCAACTTCCTATTAGACCTTTTCCTTTTGGTCTTTCTTTTATTGAAACCTCGAACTCAAATGTGTCCATATTGTCTAAGCCCAAACTAATTATTCTACACCTCATCTACTTCATTTTATGCCTTTTTGTACCCAAACTTGCTTTTTCTTCCCACTTACTGAAGGTAGAAACCGATGGGATCCTTTAGTTTTCCTTTTCCTTATTCACACTCCCTTATTACCTCTTACTTTGGATTATTAGTTTATTGCATAGATTTCCCTCAAACTAGCCTATTCTACTTTCACACTGTTATCTACATTGCCTTATAGCCATTTTTTTCTATTATGCATGTCACTTATTCAAAATACATCTTATTTCTGTTTTCAGAATTCTTCAATGAGTTCTGTGTTTGCCTCTAACTGATTTTAGGTAAATTACTTGATCTCACTATAGCATTGTTTTCTTATTGAAAAAGAGGAGGTGATATAGAAATTTTCTAAGGATTAAAAGTGATAGCGTGTCTAAAGAGTTTAGGAGTGTGTCTGGAACAAAGTAGTACACTCTAAAAGACAGTTATTTTTATTGTTCTTTGCCTCCTTCCAAACTCCTTATCATGACTTTTCATAATTTTGCTTCTAGCCACCTATCTAGTAACTTCATTTGTAGTTATTCTCCCACCATAGGTACCTTATCATTCAACAATTCCGCATTATTTGTGGTATTTTTGGTTTGCCATACTATGTGCTTTATAAACCTGTCCTTTTGGCTATGTCTTTGCCAGGAATGTGCTTATCTTTTTTGACGAACAGGAAAACTGGCTTTTACTTATTCATAGTATTTAACTTAGATATCCTCACCCATGAAGAGTAAATTACTATCTTTCTCAGTTGTTGCATAGATATATTGTGTACTATATATACGTTTGCAAGTCTGTCTTTCTATTAAACTGTGATATCCAAGGACATAAGGACTTAATTTAATTCATTGTATGATTCCTAGCACTTAGTATTTTCACTCTGTTAACATTTGTTGCATAGATTACCTCACGAATACAGAATTCTTATCGATGGTAACCAGGCTTCTGCTTGAACCCTTCTAATAGTGGGAAATTTATAGTTGGAGAGCCAGTGATTACTTGTGGACAGACCTAAATTTTAGAAAGTTATTTTCATACAGGTTTGAAATCTGCCTACCTTTAACTTTCATTTGTCTGTTCTCTGGACCCATAAAGAGTTAGTCTCTGCATTCAGCATTTTCAAGTATTTGGGTACCAAGTATGTGTTAAGCACATTTCAGAAGTCTCTTGGTTGGAAATGAAAGAAAGCTGAAACATGTTAGGTTAAAAGAAATAAATTTGCTCTTTAACTTTGATTGTCTCCAGACTTTTTGATTGTTCACCTCTACCAAGAATACATTTTTGAGGATACATCCTCAGTGTGGGTATATTTATCTGTACATTTTGTACATATATGATTATAACAATACATTATGTACATTATAAAACACAGAGTATGGCACTTTTCAAAGGATAGTACAACATAAAAGTATCTTATTTTATGTATTGTAGTCTTTTCTTCTTACATTCTGGTGGATTGTCTTACACATCCCTCTTCTCAGGGAGGTGTATACATACCATTTTAAAGGCCACCTATATATGTAATCAAACTGTATTATGGGCAGTGTTGGAGCTGGTCTTAGAGATGACTGTAGATAGCTCTGGGGGTTCTACTTTTTTCATTGCTGCTGCTGCTTTTTTTTTTTTTAAATGGCTTTACTCTTTCAGACTGGCTTCTTTCTGGAGCTAGGATCATGGCTGCTGCTGGCTTTGGGCTAATTTCTTCATAGCTTTTATTGATTTATTCAACAAATTATGAATGGAGTGCATATCCTGAGCCAGATACTATTCTAGGTGTTAGAAATACAGCAGAGAGCATAAAAAAGAAGAATATTAAAGTGGTAAGTGCTATGCAGAGAATTAAAATAGAGTGATGTGACAGTAATTAAGTGACTACTTTAGGAAAGCCTTTGTCTAGAAGAGACATTAAAGCTGAGATACGAATCAGAAGAAATAGCTAGCCATGTAAACATCAGGAGGAAGAGCATTCCAGGGACTGGCTAAGGCAAGATTTCTAAAATGGGACTGAACTTTTGCATGTTTGAGGAAGTAAGAGAAGGCAGTTGAGTTTAGAACTTAGTAGAAAAGGAGAGTTTTGTGATCAGAGAGAAACAGAGCTTTTCTTCTTCCATCTCTAGTTGGAAACATCCCAGGGAAGGACTCTGATGGATCCAGCTTGAGTCAGTTTCCTATCCCTAAGACTGATTATTAATGATGGGGACATATTTTGGTTTTTTTAGCTCACGTTGGACTAATTGTCTGTGTTTGTGGCTAGAAGAAGGTTTGGAGGAAGGGTTTTGGGTTGACAAAATTAAGAGATGCTACTTATTATGGACCTTGTGAGCCAAGAGCTTTTCATTATATCAGCTAAGAGTTCTGTCTTACCCTATTTGAAGATACCTGTTCTTTATCTTTGTTGACTTTTTATCAAGGCTAAACTTTTCATTATTCATTCTTCTCAGAAATGATTCTTTAACCACAAGTATTACTTTAACATTGCATTGTACTTCTGAGGGTGAGAGATGGAAAGAGAAGATGGAAATCTCAGTGTATTTTGGGAATATATCCTTTCCATTCCCTTAATGTCCATTTATGTATAAAGGATATGTGTAATCTGGGGTCATTCTGTACTTCATTGCCTAAGGCAGGGAAATTGGCCAATGTATTTTTGATAGTGCTTCTTAAATTAAGTTGAAAACTCAATCCTCCATATATTCTGGGTAAGCAAGTTTTGGGGGGCATATTTTTGCTTCTTGGCTTTTGGTAGTATTAAAAGCTTTGATAACTTTGGTAGTGATGTTTGCATGGTTTGAATTATGTGCAGCAGTGAGTGGACATAATATTAAATAGTGGTATTTACTAGTAGGAGCAAAACTGAGTACTAAATTTCAATGTTTCTGAAATGGTGTGGTTGCAATAGGTCAATAGCTACATGCATATTTCTTGAAGTCACTGGAAATAGGTGCCTACACAGAAGCATGAGGCTAATTTCTACAAATAATTGAATATGAGATATACTGTTATTAAACTGTAATAATTATGTATTTGATTTTTTTTAAAGAAATTATGCTTTTTGTTTTTTGGAGACAGGGTCTGGGTCTATCACCCAGGCTGGAGTGCAGTGGTGTGATCATGGCTCACTGCAGCCTCCACCTTCTGGACTCAAGTGATCCTCCTGCAACAGCATCCAAGTAACTGGGACTACAGGTGTGTACTACCAGGCCCAGCTACATTTTGTATTTTTTTGTAGTGATGGGGTTTCACCATATTGCCCAGGCTGGTCTCGAACTCCTGGACTCAAGTGATCTGCCTGCCTCCACATCCCAAAGTGCTGGGATTATAGGCATGAGCCACTGTACCTGGCCTTTATGCCATTATTTAATTTACAGTGTTCAAGCTAGGTTAGCTTTTACATTATAAAGCCAGATCTCTTACATTAGAGTATCAAGGTGAGCCTTCTGTGTTTGAGTGTTTAATTTAGATGTGAAATGTTTGATAGGACACTATACTAGAGGCTCTAAGAAATAGAGCTCTGTGGTGAATTTCTTTTCTTTACTATTACAGATTTCTAATGATACTTTTCTATGTTGTAATTTTGGGTTTGTACATGTGGGTTGTGAGAAATAAACTGGAAATCCTGTCTCTGTGGGTTGGAATCTGGTGTGGCTTCAAAAGGCAAACAAAATATTCTAGCATTTACATGCCAGGTAAATTTTTTAAATGGACTTTCCATAGGTTCCAAACTTCTGGGGCCAAATAATATAAAGTAATATTGTAGTTGCAGACAGACTTCTGTTGGCATACATTTGGTTTCTTAATTTATGATGGGACATCAATAGCTGATTAAGCAAACAACTAAAGAAATATCTTTGTACATCCTTAGTACAGCTTGTTCCTGTTCATTTGTGACAAGTTGTTTGGGAAAGAGTTTTGAGATGGCATGCTAAGACTTGATTTCCTAAAAGTCTAGTGGGTTTTCTTTGTATTTTAAAAGTGAAGAGTGTATTTCAGGATTGAGAATTTTCTGCTTTTTATAAAAGACTTTATAATTGGGTAATTTTAGATTTTTAACTGTACTTAAATGAAGATGCACATGTTTTTACCCCCTCCTTTCTTCTATTAATAATTTATTAGATAATTTTAAGAAAGGAATATTGTAGTATTATGGTGGCCAGATTTAGAAAGGTCTAGGTGAATTTACTGTCTTTCAGTTCACTTTATTCTTGTTTATATGAGTGGCTGGAGATATCACATATAATTTGAAGTTTACATCTGGTTTTATGTTAAGTGAATCTGATTCAGGCACAGCTATCTTCAATGGTGATTTTCCCAGCTGTAAATTAGGAACTTGGCATTGAACACTATGTGGTTTTGTGTAAGCAGAATTTAGATTGTGATATTTTCTGTCGCTTCATAATTCTAATTTTAGACTTTCAAAGTAGGATAATTCACTCCAGAAAGTCTGAAATCTGTGATTTTCCATACACTGCCAGGTACATTGATGTCAGTGGTTTGAATCAAACTGAATATCCTTTATAAAAAATATGGTGGATCATTTTATATATCTACCTGTAGAATTGTGACCATGGGTTTTCTGTTTTTTTATTTATAAAAATGTAGGAGATTCTTTTTATTTGCATTTGAAAATTTCTTGGAAACACATAATACAGTGATATTTATGGAATTTTCCTGCAGTGGTAGTAAATGTGAAGAGTGAGGGATAAGTTTAGAGCACAAGCCTCTTACTGGTCTTTTGCTTTACTTAAAAATTTTTTTTTTCACTTTTCTAATTACTTGTCTGAATTGCACAGGGTTTCAGTTTGAATATTGCAGGTACCATGAAGTCTTTTCTTGTAGCTATTATGTACTTGTGTGATGCCATCAACTAGATTATAAGTGCCTTGAGCATAGGGGTTACTATAAATTCATCTTTGTATTCTATTGTACTTAGCTTCTCACATAACAACTAATATAGGATAAGTATAATGAGTTTGTTGAATTAAATTAGATTGATCTGAATTAGAGGGGAGGAATTAGACAATAGAAAAACAGGGATGAACTTAGAGAAGCTAAGTTTTGTGGTCATTTGAGATACCTTGTTAATTTAGTTTTAAGTAATCAAGAGTGGTGATGTTTTATTCATCTTTAAAACTGTTATGACTGAACGGTCAGAAATGATGGTATGTCTTGTTCTGTTACCAACTAGCAATTTATGTTTCAGTAAACTGCTCTATGTGATAATTCTTGTGTTAAAAATACCATTACTCAAAAATTAGCTGGGCGTGTTGGTGCATGCCTGTAATCCCAGCTACTCAGAAGGCTGAGGCAGGAGAATCACTTGAACCCAGGAGGCAGAGGTTGCAGTGAGCTGAGATTGCACTCCAGCCTGGGCAACAGAGCAAGACTCTATCTCCAAAAAAAAAAAAAAAAAAATATCATTACTGGTTTTTGTTTCAGGGGATACATCTCATGAATTAACTGATTTCCTAAGTCTTTTTTTTCCCCAACCCTCCATTAAAAAAATTAATGTGTAATTTACATATATCACAAAATGTACAGATAGAGGGTGTATCGTGTGCTGAGTTCTGATAAATATATACCTGTGTAACAATACTCCAGTCAAGATACAAACATTTCGATCTCCTCAGAGAATTCCCTCATTCCCCTTGTAGTCTATCTTTCTCCATACCATTCTCCCCCAACCCCTGGTGTCTACTCTTCTGATTTCTGTTACATATATTAGTTTTGCCTATTCTTGAACTTCATATAGATGAAATTTTATAACATGTATTCTCTATTACTGGCTTAATTTATCCAACATGTTTTTGATATTTATTATATTTGTGAAGCCTTTTTGAATAGTGTAGTGAAAAATGTTAGAGAACATCTCCTTGTTATTGGTGAGAAAATTTCTGTGAATGTTAATATTTAATTCAGAGATTAAAGAAGAATCTATGTAAAGTGACAATACCTACAATATCCTTTTTTGACCCAAATAGGAAGTAGTTCTTTTGATACTTTGAATATTGAATATTGGAATAGCTTTGTGAATACAAGGTCCAGTTTAATCTGGAAATTAAAATCTTCATTTATTTATTTTGTTAGCATAAGTCAATTTTGTCCTAATTATTGAACCCTGACTTCTCTGAGAAGATCATCTTTCAGGTTTGGGAGGAAGAAACTCTATTCTTACTTAGTTTTTAAACTCACATTTTTTTTTTCGTATTGTTAGATAAGGTTATATAGACATGAGCCTCTGTTACTTTAACAGTGCTTTTGAAACAGCTAACAGTTCATTCTGGGATATAAGTCAAATATGTATTGCTTAACTCTTGGTATCATCTTTATTTTTTCAAAATTGTAAAATACCGGTAAAATTGATCATCTTTACCATTTTAAAGTGTACAGTTCAGTGGCATTAAGTAAATTACATTGTTGTGCTGCCATCACTATCATGCATCCACAGAACTCATCTTGCAAAATGGAAACTTCATCATTATTTCTTAATTTAAAAAGCATTTTTCAAAAAGGGATTATAATATTAGCTCCTTTATCCATTTAAATTGGTCCCATAATTAAGTTTATAAAAATATTTTTGGCTAAAATGGATAGTCATGAAAATGATATGTACATGCTTTATAACATATTTGTAGTGTAGCCTTTTGGTATTAGACCCAAATCTTTTCTATGAACACAGGTCTCCTTATTGGAATTTATTGTAAATTTTTCTTAAATCACACCTTTAAATATCCTCTTTAATTTCTAAGTGTAGTGAGACAGTTGCAAAATAGTCTCAGTGGAGATTGTCCTAAATTTTTATAGTCTTGTACTTGACAGAATTTTTTTAAAAAGCAAGTGGTCCTTATCAAACTGTTACAAATAGTCAACTTTTTCATGGAAACAACTACTTCTGCTGCTATCTTACAGATTTTTAAAGATATTTAGTGAAATTATACATTAATAGACATAACCCAGATAAAAATGTTTGGAAACAAAAATAACTGTTTCTTGATAGTATACAGTTCAGCTAATGGGAGCATGAGTGCTAGGTCTTGTCTTATTAACCACTACCCCTTCCTTCACACTGTGAGAATCAAAGGTAATGGAGAGCATTGGTTAACATCATGACACATGAATTTGTTATGTGGCAGATAATGCAAAGAACTTGTAGCATGGATAGTAAGTTGATAATTTGAAAGTTTTTTTTTTTTTTAAAGTTTCAGTATCTTACAGCTACCAATTGTCAGTCTTCTTTTCTATTGTTATAAATAGGGAGTTTGTTCATACTGTAAAATAAAATTACAGTTTTTGTTTGTTATTTATTGCTGTTTAACAAGCTACCCCAAACTTAGCAGCTTAAACAACTGTGTCAATTTGCTCATGATTTTGTGAGTCAGGAATTTGAGAATGATTTTGCTGGTCTTTGCATAACTGGCAGAGTGCAAGTTTGATTAGGTGTTTTCTGTCTTCATGTGCTCTCTCCACATGGCTAGTTTGGGCTTCTTTACAGCATGGTAGTCTCAGCATAGTCAAATTTCTTATATGGAGGGTCGTTTTCTCCAGAGTTAAGTATTCATAAGACAGGAAGTGGAAGGTGCCTATTTCTTAAGGCCTGGGCCCAGAAAATGGCACATATCTCACCCATGCTACTGGTCAAAGATACCACAAAGCTCACCCACATTCAAGGGGAGGAGACATAGACTGCTTCTCTGTAGAAGGCACACCAAATAATTTGTGGCCTTTTAAAATCTGCCAAAGGTTTAAATGGTGTATATAATTAATGGCATTCTTATTTTTAAAATCCTGAGAATATTTCTGGTGGATGTCAATGTTAAAGACTATGGAGGAACACATAGGTCTACATTTAACTGATTCAAATTATAAATGAGTATGAAACAACTAGAGAGAGTAAAACTGACAAAGGATAGAATGCTGGGCACAACTTCATTATAATAAGGACTACTGTAAAGTTTCTATTTATTAATCCAACTCTTGTTCTCCCACCATTAGGTTTCAGTTAATGCCGCATAGCATTAAAAAAAAAAAAAGACGAGGAAAATGAAGCTCAGTAATGTGTATAGATGAATTTGAGTTACAATCTTCTGGCATGCTGCAAATCCCATTTGGATTCCTGGTAACAGACATTTTAGACTACAGTATGAGATAATTTTGTTGAGTGGACTAGGTCTGAGTATCATGTTTGAGAAGGCAGCATTTAAAATGAATTTGACATTTATAAGTATTTTTTTTTTTGGTACTTAAGCTGTGCGTAGTGTTATTTTTGTGTATGAGGAGGTAAATTTTACCTTGGATTGTTAAATATAGTGTCTTATATCATCTGTAATCATAAAGGACAGATTTTCTCAGTAACATTTTGTCAGTGACACAATTTTTCATGACCAGTGAATGCTAGCTGAAGAAACTGAAAATTTTCTGAAATTGTCAGTATAAATCATTTATTTCAGTAGACCTTGCTATGCTTTGCTGTTGGAAGTAAATATAACTTTTCCTAAGATTAGTCAAAATTCACTGAGTTTGTGTCATGCTTTGTTAGATGCTGAGAATAGATCAAAGTTTGATCTCTATATTTTATTTAATTGATATCAAATGAACATAATTAATGATGATGTTGAATTTTTTTTAATACAAGTATGAAAATGCCCTTTCTCTTTGTGATTGTTTGGTACTAGTCATTAACTTTGTTCCCATTTTGTATAAATATTATGTATTAGAAGTTAGAGGCAGTTTTCTGTGAAGAGTATTTCTACTTGATTTTATGTTATTTGATAAATAGATGTTTTGAATAGCAGCATAAAATTAAATGTATAAATTTAATATTATTGCTGTATTGTAATCTTTTTCTGTTTAATTTTTTGGCTTGCATTATTTTAGTCGAGTAAAGTATTTTGTATCTGTTATTTTTATGGTAATATATCTTTTCTTCATATAAAATAAAATTTGAGACCTCTGCATCCAAAATACTAAATATAAAAGTTTATAAATTATATTAAAATATGTCTCAGATTATATAGAGTGATGCGTAGTCATTGTTACCTTCAAATTAGCCACTTGGTGAAATATGTCACTTTTTAGTCGCTAGACTATGTTTGAAAGCTGTAAAATACTGGCGAGCCACAATTTAGGACCACGTAAAATGTGAAAATCGGGTTTATGGAAACAGATTAGAATTTATTTTCATTATGGAATGTTTTGTTTCAAAGTTTGTTGAAAAAATATATTTTGATGTATAATAAAGGTATATAGTATGATGTTTGTGAGATTATTTTTCAATAGTTTAAAAATACTTTTTTATTTTATGTAACAATATAATGGTACATTTCAAGTAAAGAATTTGTTCAAATCTCTATCTCCCTTACAAAGCTAATGATTTTATGTCCCCCTTTAATCTGTTTTATTTGAATATAGTAGGGACTCTTTTTAGAGACTTCTTTTATAGAAAATTGTAGGTAGAAGTGTATACAAGTAAGGTAGTGTATGCTAATGAAAATGGAAAATAGATCACTAAAATTTTGTTTGTGTATCTCATATTATATTGTAAGTGATTTAATTATTTTCTTTGATTTTCATGCAACTCTAAATATATCCCTCACTAATAGTTATGTTTAATTTCTCCCATCCATTTATGTTAATACATACATACATGTGTATTACACATACACACACACACACACACACACACACACACATTTTTTAAAAAAAGTTGTTGTAGGCAGAATAATGTCCTTCAAAGATATTAGGTCTTAGGAACCTGTAAGTGTTACCTTGTGTGGAAAAGGGTTTTTGAAGATATGGTTAAGTTAAGGGTCTTGAGATGGAGAGATTATTCTAGATTATCTGTGCGGGTCCTAAATACTATCACAAGTGTCCTCATAAGAGATAAACAGAGGCATAATCTACAGACATACAGCAGAGAAGACAGTGTGAAGATAGAGTAGAAAGAGATTTGAAGATACTAGCCTTGAACATTAGAGTGATGAGGCTACAAACCAAGGAATACCAGCAGCTATCAGAAGCTGGAACAGGCAGGGCATGGATTCTCCCCTAGAGCCTCCAGAGGGAGCCAGCCTTCCCAACTCTTTGATTTCAGCCCAGTTTGAACTTCTGGCCTCCAGAATTGTGAGAGAATAAATATCTGTTGTTTTCAGCCACCAAGTTTTGGTAATTTGTGACAGCAGCCACAGGAAACTATTATGTGTGAATATACATTTTTGAAATCACTGAAATATTTAATCATAGAATAGGAAGGGATCCCCGTCTTAATTGACCGGCTCCTCTCTTCCTTTGACTTGAACATATTCACATGTGGACTTCTCTACTCTTTTTACTATTATTACATCCTTATACATTGGGTCACAGCTTTAATATCAGCTCCACAGATGAGCCCTCTTTTACTAATTAATTCTTAATTTTTTCCCTATATCAATCCCTTTTTTGTTTTCTGTATCATTCATCATGTACATTCTTGGGGCGAGGAAAATCTTAACCCCCATTGTAAGTCTACAACCTATAAAGAAAGATATATTTGTATGAAACTTAACACATGAATGGAAAGATATACCACACAAACAATTGGTAAAAATATGTACAGTGCAGAGAAAGGACAGAGTTGATATCTGTTCTATATAATAACTTCTTAGATAATGACAAAAAGGAAACAAACAGCACTATATGAAAATGAGCAAAAGATATGAAGAAGCCAGTCCAAATGGCCAACAACATATTAAAAGATGTTCTAACTTACTAGTGTGATATATAACCTTGTATCTATCATACTGCCTCCTTCAGCCCCCACCTTTAATGAAAAGAAAGAGAAAGAGAGAAAAGAACCAGCAATAACATTGTATTGGCAAGAACCTAAGGAAAGAATTAGTTTTTATATTTTGCTGGTAGAAATGTGAGTTACTAGAGCCTTTGTAGACAGTGATCTGATAATATCTATTAAAATTAAAAAAATATATTTATACCAGTTGACCGTGCAGTCTTACTCTTTGAAATCTAGCTCATAGAAACACACTTCCATATATAAGCATTTCTGTATGAGCATTTGTTTCTAGTGGCAAAAACTGGAAATGCAATTTATGTCTATCAGTAGGGGAATTGTGAATGTATTTATTATGTATCTACATAATATATCTACATAATAGAATCTTAGTAGTCATTAAAAAGAATGAATCAGATATGCACCAGTAAACTTGGTGGGATTTGCATGGGGAATTATTACATGAGAACAACTAAGATAATTAAAAATGTGTGTGGCAGCCAGGCACAGTGGCTCATGCCTGTAATCCCAGCACTTTGGGAGGTCAAGATGGGCAGATCACCTGAGGTCAGAAGTTCGAGATCATCCTGGCCAAAATGGTGAAACCCCATCTCTACAAAAGTACAAAGATTAGCTGGGCATGATGGTGGGTATCTGTAATCCCAGCTACTCGGGAAGGCTGGGGTGGGAGAATTGCTTGAACCCAGGAGGCGGAGGTTGCAGTGAGCTGAGATCACACCATTGCACTCCAGCCTGGGTGACAGAGCGAGACTCTGTCTCGGAAAAAAAAAAAAAATATATGTGGCATCTTAAATTAAAAAATGTAGTGATAACACCATTATATATGTAGACATATATATGAGAATACATATTTTTATATGTATGAGAATAGAGGTATATAGTAGATGGTTAACTTGGACCATTTTAATGGGCAAATGGATGGAGCTGTCATGTTGTGGGAGGGAAGTTGGAGAGGGTATTTGAGGTAGGGAAACATGACTACTAATTTATGCTTTAAAGTTAAAATTAACATTTATGTGTTTATGTATAAAGATTTTTTAAAAATTGCATGTGATGGCATTAATTAGTATAGCTCCTGTGGAAAGTGATGCAGTAAACCCTGTCAAGCAGTGTTCATACTCTTTGAGCTAATCATTCTATATCTGGGAGTTCATATTAAGGTATTAAATTAAAAGAAGAAAAATGTTAATGTGTGAAGTCATCATTGTGCTATTAACTATGTAATATGGAATATTATATGCTAGGAAATATAATAAAGTGTATCCAACATAAACTCATGCTGAAACTTCCTCTTTTTGGACTTTACATCCAGAAAAATTGTTGTCATATTGATGGGATGTAACACACAGGTAAATAATACAATTATGAAGGGTACAATGATAAAGGCTGTTACTTAGAACTATAGACTATATAATAAATGAAAAAGAACTTATAATTGCATGTAGAATTAAAATATATATGTATTTATTTGAGTACTAGAAGGAGATAAGATAAAATGAAAACAGTGTGGGGGGATTATAGTAAATTGTTTTTATCTTGTTTTGACAAATCTGGAGAACAGTGTTGCTCAAATATTAGCAAAATTTAGAAGAAACACTAAAATTTAATATCCAGCTCTTGTAACTGTGGAATATATTTTCTTTATAATAAAACAATTTTGTAATTTTGCATAGGCATTGGCAGAATGTTTAAATTTGGAATCAGATTGGTATTTCTGTCAATACTTACTCTGAAAGCTGCAGTGTCATCATGAGTTATTAAAGATAAATCTTTGGTTTCATGTGCCATATTTCTTACTAGGAGTAAAACTAGGTCTAAGTCCATTTTACGCTTTCTAATAGTTTCCTTTTATCTGTTGATTCCCTCTTATGCATGTTTTCTACCGTTTTCACTGTATTCTTGTATTAATCACAGTTTTTAAAAAGTTTTTGTCTTAATGCTTTAACGAATAGATTATCTCTTGGTCTAGTTTTATTGATTACTTCTTGACTTTTTTTTCCTTTTTGTTTATCTCACAATTTTTGTCACCCACTGTAAAAAACTGAGATAAATTATATTTATTCTCTGAAATGGGAACACCTATTCTTCTGTCAGGTCATTGGTTTGTGTTTCTAAAATATACTAAACTAATGTGTTATGAAGCTAAGGCAGATAGGTGATAAATTTGTAAAGCAATTGAAGGAAAAACTCAGTAAGTCAAAACACATTTTAAAAGAGACACGTTTAAAGTTTTTTTTATATAAATGGAATCGTGCATTATGTGACCTTTTGGGATTGGCTTTTTTTTTTCACTCAGTGTAATACCTTTGAAATCTCTCCAACTTGCATGTATCGGTAGTTCTTTCCTTTTTATAGCTGATAAGTATTACAGTGGTAGAGATGTGGCACAGTTTGTTTAACCATTCACCTATTTTAGGACATTTTGGTTGTTTCCAGTTTTTGGCTATTACAAACAAAGCTATGAACAATCATGTACTGATTTTTGTGTGGACATAAGTTTTCATTTTCCTGGGATAAATACCTAGGAGTACAATTGCTTGCCCTTATAGGAGGTATATATTTAATTCTTAAAGAAACTGAACAACTGTTTTCCCAAGTGATCATACTGTTTTACATTCCCACCAGAAAAAGTGGATCTTTCAAACCACAAATGTTTGAAAGAGCCACTTTCTCCACATCCTTGCCAGCATTTGGTATTGTCATTACTTTTTATTTTTGCTAGTCTGGTAGGTATGTGGTGGTGTCTCATTGTGGCCTTAATTTCCATTTCTCTAAAGATTGGTGATGTTTAACATCTTTTTATTTGCTTAGTTGCTATCCCCTTTGTATATCTTCTTTGGTGAATGTCTCTATCTTTTGTCTATTGAAAAGAACATGCTTTCTTTTCATATGTGCATGGAACCTTCACCAGAATAAACCATATCCTTGGTCATAAAACAAATTTCAGTAAATTGAGAAGCATTTCCTGTTCTTTTTTCCTGAAAAAGTTTGTGTAGAATTTGTGTACTATCTACTGACTCCTGGTATTTGTCTGGTTTCAGAGGGTGGGAGGGTTTTCTGCCTTTCCCCCAAGTGGCAGCTTGCAGTTTTGCTTTGTATGAAGAATAGTTCTAGGATATGAGTAGCTAATCATTTCCTTCATTCCTGTACCATAAGAAAAACTCTCTCAGGTAATCTAATCTGTCCTCATCTTTCTCTAGAGTTCTCGATGCGCATTTGGGTTGTTTGTGGGGTTTACTATTGCAAACAGTGTTACCATGAATATTCTTGTGCAAGACTTTTGGTATCCGTGTGTGAGAGTTTCTCTAGGGCATGTTACTAGAAGAGGAATTTCTCAAAGTATACCTGTGTTCTTGCGGGGCGTGGTGGCTCACACCTGTAATCCCAGCACTTGGGAGGCTGAGGCAGGCAGATCACCTGAGGTCAGGAGTTCAAAATCAGCCTGGCCAACATGGCAAAACCCTGTCTCTACTAAAATTACAAAAATTAGCTGAGTGTGGTGGTGGGCACCTGTAATCCCAGCTACTTGGGAGGTTGAGGCAGGAGAATTGCTGGAATCCAGGAGGCGGAGGTTGCAGTGTGCTGATATAGCGCCATTACACTCCAGCGTGGGCGACAGACCGAGACTCCTTCTCAAAAAAAAAAAAAAAAAAAAACGAAACAAAAAAAACTCATATTAGGACTGATCACCTTGTTATCATATAAAGTTGTTATAATATACTGTCATATTAAATATACTGTCATATTTTTCTTCTAATTTTGTCTTGAGGTCTCTCAAGTGGCTGTAAACTCTAGCCCTGCCCTGAGGGGGTGCCAGGGGATTTGGTCATATGATGCTTATAATGGGCCTTTCACAGGATACTTCTTTATCCCTGTGGACAGCCTAAGTGTTTGACATGTGACCCAGATGTCCTTCTCATTACAAACAAAGAAGCTTGTTTATACTGGCAGGTGCCCTTTTGGCGCTTGCCTGACTTGTGTCCAGTTTATTCTTAACAAGTTAGCTATTCTGTAGGAGAGCCCTGACCAGGAAAGGAGTTAGATTTAGATGTGTTGGTCAGGTGAGACACAGAGGAGGCAGCACAACCAAACATAGGAAATAACAGAAGCAGTATATTACTTACGGATCCCACAGAAAAGAGGGCAGCATGTTTCTCAGGGCCAGATGGGAAAGGGGAAGCCATCTGGGACTTGGAGGCTCCACCAGTGGGTGGGGAGAGAGAGAGAGAGAAAGAGAGGGAGAGAGCAAGGAACCTGTGAGTCAAAGCCATTATTGGGGTCTAGGTTGTTATCAAAGAGTTTCCCTGCAGGGAATTCTAACTGTGGGTGACGTGGTTTGGATCTGTGTTCTCACCCAAATCTCAGGTCAAATTGTAATCCCCAGTGCTGGAGGTAGGGCCTGGTGGGAGGTGCTTGGATCATGGGGACAGTTCCTCACGAATGGTTTAGCACCATCCCCTCTGTGTGGTGCTGTTCTTGTGATAAGGAGTGAAGTTATCCTGAGATCTGGTTTAAAAGTGTGTAGCGCCTGCCCCCCTCTTGCTCCTACTTCTGACATGTAAGAGGTGTCTGCTTCCCCTCTGCCTTCTGTCATGATTGAAAGTTTCCTGAGGCTTCCCCAGAAGGCAAGCAGATGCCAACATTGTTTCCTGTACAATCCTGTACAACCTGCAGAACCGTGGGCCAATTAAACCCCATTTCTTTATAAATTACTCAGGCTCAGGTATTTCTTTAAAGCAATGTGAGAACGGACTAATACAGTGGGTTTACAGCAAACAGACTTCATTTCCTTGGTCACGCTGTGACTGAGAGATGGTCACTGCAGCTTATCTGGGCAGTCCGTGCAGGGTATGGGAGTCAGTAGGGTGAGTCAAGTAGGTTGTATCCAGCTGTCCCATAGGGAAGTGGTTACTGGGAGGCGATCGTATAAGGTAGATATCTGGAACAACAACATAGAGGAACTGGGTGGAGGCAGACAACTGGAAACTGTGTCGAGTGTGACTAAGCCCAGTTTCTGATATGAGAAAGTTAAACATGTTTAAAATGTATGCCAAGGCAACATAAAATTATTAGAATTCACTACATTCACCAAAAATATATAACATCAAACAGGTAGCAAAATTTGATAGATTGGTATACGTAAATTAGTACCTCTCCTATTAAAGTGGGAAATTTTAAATTAACATTTGTGGTTATTGGTAGATAAAAAAGTCAGCAAAGGGTATACAATATATGAAGAATACAGTTCATGGACATATACAGAATTCAATATATAAAGAATGAAAAAGAGATATATAACATAAATCAGAGATTAAAAGGAAAATGAGAATACTGTTAATTATATGTGACCTATGTAAAAATAGACATTTCTAGGAAAATATTACTTGTAAAAACCGAGGGAGAAATTAAAAGTCTGAATCTTCCCACAAAGAAAGCAACAAGCCCAAGTGATTTGCCAATAAATAAGTCTCTACCAAAATTTTGAGGAATAGATTATTCCAATCTGTTGCAATCTTTTAAAATTAATACAAACAGAGGATAATTCCCCAGCAAGTTCTGAAAGCCCAGCATAATCCTGACATCCAAATCAAATGAAGACACCAAAACAGATGACAATTACAGATGTATTTCACTTTTAATATAGAGCTGGTAATCCCAAACAGGACAGTAGCAAATTGAAACCAACATTTAAAGAAGACAAACATCATTGCCAAATTGGATTTTTCCCAGGTATGCAAGGATGATTTACTAATAAATGATCCATAAATGTAAGCAACATTTACATTGATAGATTAAAAGTGAAAAACTGTATAATTAAAATAGATACAGAAAATCATTTGATAATCAGCATAAATTCATGATAAGAATGCTTAGCAAATTAAGAAAAGAGGGAACATCTCTAAACTGTCAAGAAATATTTAAAAAACAACCAGTCAACCAACCATCATCAGCAATCTTCCTAAATGGGGATAGATGAAAAGATTCTCTTAAAGTCAGAAATGATAAAAGCATGCTTATCACATGTTCTGATTATTATTGCTGTATAACAAATCCAAATTTAATGGCACAAAACAGCTGTTTTATTATGCTTATGAATTCTGAGGGTCAGAAACTTGGACAATGTAGAAGAAGGCTTTTTTTTTTTTTTTTTTTTTTTTTTTTTTTTACAGCTCTACTCTTTTCAGTGCCTCAGTTGGGATGATGTGAACGTTGAACACTGGAGGTGACTTGCTGGCTAGGGGCTGGATTCATCTTAAAGTATCTTCATTTATATGTCTGGTGATATGATGCTGGCTGTTGGCTGGGAACTTAATTAGGCAGTCAGTTGGAAAACTTACATACGGCTTTTCCATGTGATATCTCAGTGTGGGCCAGTTTGGTCTGTCTCACATAATGGCATCTAGGCTCCAAGAGCAAGCAATACAAGAGCAAAAGACAGAAGCACATTGCAGTGAGCTGAGATTGCGCCATTGCACTCCAGCATGGGCAACAAGAGGGAAACTCTGTCTCAAAAAAAAAAAAGAAATAAGAGTTTACTAAAGTTGAGTAGGTAGATTAATATAGAAGTCAATTGGATTGTTATTATAGTAACAACAAATAACTAGAAAGTATAAAAGAAGACATTGAAATAGTATCATAGATACTATCATAGGTGCATTCCTATTTATTGAATGCACCTAACAAGAAATTTTTGAGACATCTTTAGGGGTATTTATAGAATGTTATCAGTAGTCCTTTTAGAAAAAACTTAACCATGGTATATCTTAGTTGTAGGGCTCACTCACTATCATAAAGATTCCTTTTCTGCTGAAATAATCTTATAGCTAGAAACAGACCCACAGTGTTTATGGGTCTGTTTATACTAGAATAAATTTGGTGTATGATAAAGATGGCTTATCAGATTAGCAAGGAAAGAAGTTATTGTATAATAAATGTAATCAGGAAAAATGATCCATATCAGGAAAAAAAAAGAATTAGATCTCTGCTTCTACCATATAAATACTCAAATACAGATGGCTGAAATACTTAAATGTCAAAAATAAAATTTCCTTGTAGTAAATAAAGGTATATACCTTTTATAGATGGCAAAGGATTTAAAAAATAAGACTAAGCAACTGATAAATTGTTATTAAAGAATAGATTAAGAATTTCTGTTCATCAAAAGCTGCCTTAAATAAAGTGGAAACACATGTTATAAACTAGAAGATGTTTGCAATATACACAGCTGACAAATGATTAATATCAAGAATTATTTTAAAAAATTTATCCAATTAAAAACACAACACAGTCAAAAAATAAAGATGTGAATAGGCATTTCACAAAGGAGGAACCACATATCATTGATAATCATATGAAGAAATTTTAACTTCATTAATGATCAGGGAAGTCAAATTAAGTACAAAATGAGATGCCATTTAAAACCAAGTGTCAGGAAGGATGAAGATTTATGGGACCTCTGTATTCATGCCACCATTTTGGAAAGTACTTTTTCATTTTCCTGTGAAACTAAACATAGACAAATGTTACAACCCAATTATTTTACTCATAGGCATATACTCAAGGGAAGTTCTGTGTATAAACAAAAGTAGATGTATTGAAAAATGTTCACAGCATTTCTGGTCTCAATAACAAAATCCTGTAAACTACCCAGATGTCTCTTGATAGGAAAGTGGCTGAATAAACTTTGGCATATAATTAATATAGCAGCCAAAAGAATGAATAATAGCCATAATAATATTAGCAACATAATATCATAAGAAAAAGTTAGGTCCCCCAAATTGACATACTGCAGGATACCCTTTAAAAATAGTTCAGATAAAAGTAATATGCTTTTTGGTAGTAAATATAGAAGAGATGAAACATCATTCATTTGAAAGTAAGGGAATGATGAAAAAATAAATTAAGGATTGTGAGTCCAGATAAGCACAGGGAAGAGTTATATGTATTACAACTTACTGTCAGGGTCTTCAGGTTTATGTTGTCAACACTGATTTTACCGTGATTACTATGTGACACTTTTCTCTATTATTTGTTGTATAGAGCACATTCTTGTGCCTTGATATTGTGATATATTTGTAGACTTTTTTTTACAGGACCTATTTTTACTTTTAATCATTAGTACCAATGCAAATCACAATTTTGTCATCATGCTTATTTTGCTTATATGGGGGACTCCAAAGATCATATCCCATAGAGGCATGGATTTGGCATTCTTGTTTTGAAAGATTTGGAGTTGAGATTGACATGATAGTTTTAGGGTCTAAAACATGATTGTTTTAGAAATAGTTATACAGTATAATGAAAGGATTGGAGAGCAGAATGACAAGAAGTAAGTTCTGGTAGTTTTCAAGAAATAGTGATAGAGATCCAAGCCACAAAGATGGTCACTAGAGGAGACAAGAAAGGATGAGTGGGGAAATAATATAGAATTAACTGACTTACCTGCTGTGGTGTAAAGTGTCAAGTGAAAAGTAAAAGGTGACACCTGGGTTTTGCATCCTGGATGGATTAAAGAAGGATAATACTATTGACTGAAAAGAACAGATTGAGGAGAGAAAGTAGTTTGTGAAGAAAAGGTGAATTTGGCTATAGTAATAGTGTAGTTTCATATATTTAGAGTATCTTAGAGTGTAATACCTTAGAAGTCCTCTGATCAGCCTGTTCATTTGACATATGAGGACACTGTGGCCCAGAGAAAGCGTAGTGATTTGGCCAGCATCATATGGTTCAAACACAAATTTCTGTGTGATTACAGGATATGGATCTGATGGAGATGAGGATGATAGAAGCAACTAGGTTACAAAGGTCCATTAATTCTTGTTAGGAATTTTTACTTTGGGCTGGGCGTGGTGGCTCACGCCTGTAATCCCAGCACTTTGGGAGGCCGAGGCCGGTGGATCATGAGGTCAGGAGATTGAGACCATCCTGGCTAACATGGTGAAACCCCGCCTCTACTAAAAATACAAAAAATTAGCTGGGCATGGTGGAGGGCGCCTGTAGTCTCAGCTACTTGGGAGGCTAAGCCAGGAGAATGGCGTGAACCCGGGAGGCGGAGCTTGCAGTTAGCCGAGACCGGGCCACTGCACTCCAGCCTGGGTGAGAGACCAAGACTCCGTCTCAAAAAAAAAAAAAAAAAAGAATTTTTACTTTGTAAAATAATGAGAAGCCATTGAATAAGGTTTTAAGTAGGAGGAGTATTTAGAAGGAACACTTAGGTTGCAGAGTGGAGAATGGACTAGAAAGGAGCAAAATTGGAAGCAGAGTACTGTTTTGGAGTTTGATGCTATAAACTAGATGAAAGATAATGGTGACCTTGCTTAGGGTGAAAGTATTGGGGATTGAGAGGAGTAGATGTATTCTGGAGGTATCTGGGACAGCGGTCCCGAACCTTGTTGGCACCAGGGACTGGTTTTGTGGAAGACAATTTTTCTATGAACTGGAACGTTGGGAGATGGTTTTGGGATGAAATTGTTCCACCTCGGATCATCAGGCATTAGTTAGATTCTCCTAAGGAGCACACAGCCTAGATCCCTCATATGCACAGTTCACAATAGGGTTCGTGCTCCTTTGAGAATCTAATGCTGCTGCTAATCTGACAGGAGGCAGAGCTCAGGTGGTAATGCTTACTTGCTGGCCACTCACCTCCTGCTGTGCAGCCTGGTTCCTAACAGGCCAAGGACCCAGACCGGTTCGTGTCCGCGGGTTGGGGACCCCTGCTCTCGGAGATAGGATTTTGTGATTGATTTTATATATGGGGTGAGAGAGAGAAGTATGAGGCAAAGATGACTGCAAGTTTTCTTCTTGACCAAATGTGTTATAGAGGTAGTGGCAATCACTGGTCTAAAGACCCCTGGAAGAAGGGTAAATTTGAGGTTGGTGGGGGAGATGTTGAATTCAATCTTGAGTTTTGGTTGTATTGCATTTGAGGTTCCTGTTAGATTACAGTTGTCTCTTGGCTATGTAGATCTGGAGCTCAGGAAACACATCTAAATTAGAGATAGAGATACCATAGCTTATGTTTGTAAATGAATCCAAAGATGTGAATGAGATAGTCCAGGGAGTGTATCTAAAGTGAAAGAAAGGAAGGGTTAGGTTGGAGCCCTTTGGAGCACCAAAATTTAAAGGATAGGTAGAAGAACCTGCAAGAGAGATTGAGCTAAAGCAGTTAGAAAACTAGGAAGAAGGAAGGAGTATGATAGTCTTATATAGCATGAAGTGAGAAGTGTTTTGAGAAGAAAAGACTAATCAAATGATGTTAATGTTCAAATAAGACAAGGAATTGTTTCATTTTGCATAATAAAAAGGATGTAATTGGTTGCAGGCATGAGATATAACAATAGTGTCTGAAGTTGAGCTGTGAAAAGGATAGGACTGTGGTTGGAGGACACTGTATTTGAGGAAGGTTTTGTTTTTGTTTTTGTTCTGTTTTCATTTTTAAACTGTAGGGCTTGGAGCATGTTTCATTGTTGATGAGAAAGAGCTAAATAAGAGGAGGTTGAATAGTTAAGAGGAAACAATTGAGAGAGCCAAGTCTCTGAGAGCCCAGGTTGCTGGGAGGGTTTGGGGGTTAGTCTTAAGTAGGCAGAAGGGTTCCTTTTTCTTTGTGAGCAGAATGAGTTGTAATAGCTGAGTACAGATGCTGGTAGCTATAGTTTTGGTAACAAGAAGTTGAGGGACTTCTCTTAAAATGCCTTCTGTTTTCTTTGTTAAGCAGGAGGCCAGGCTATTTGCTTTGATAGCAGAAAGGAATAGAAAGGCTGGAAGTTTGAGGAGAGTTGGCAGTCTTTGAAATAGCTTTTCTGGAGAATGAGAGAAATAACTTTAAAGAAATACTGGGTGTGTTGGGCAGCACTGTGAATCCAGTTGAAGAGGGGAAACATGAATTTTATGTGATTTTGTTCTGATAGTTGTCAGCAGAAGACAGGTAATTGGATATTATTGGTGGTTCCTGGGGTGGGAGGGAGGTGTTATCAGTTGCCTTGCAACCACTCTGGATTCTGAATCAGCTGAGGAATGGAACCAAGAGTTGTATAGAAATCAGAGTAGCAACTTTATTGTTAAAACCTGGCTTGGGCCTAAATCTGAAATGAGGTCTCCCACAGGTTTTCTTCTAAATTAAATTTACCCATCTGGTCACAGGCAGAATAGCTAAAAAACAAGTCTCTGTGCTTAAAGAATGAAGTTTTTCCCTGATGAGCTTCTTTATGGGAGCTAAACTGCAAGAATAGTATATTGTTTGAAGGCACCAAGTTCCCAGTAAGGAGCTCAAAGAGGTTGTACTTTGCATGCACACTAAATTTTATAATTAATCTTAGCTAACAGTGACACTTAGGGATGTTTTGCTCTCACTATGATTACTTTTTTTTTTTTTTGAGAGCAGTAAAGAGGATAAAGGACTACAGTACTTCTTCAATCACATTTCCTTCTATTGAAAACAGGCCTGTGCTCTCTTTTAAAATGTGAGGAGAGGAAGTAGTATATCTTACCTTTAGCATTCATTGAGCGATGAGATTTTGCCAGATAAGAATACAGTTCATACAGTGAGAATTTTGAGTTGATAGAGGGATAGCCCTGTAAAAATGTTCATTTTTTGGTTGGGAATGTATGACTGGCCCCTGAGAAGTGATTAGTTCTGCAAAATCTGTGTAGACTACTAAGATTATGAGAGGGCATACATTTTTTGAAGGAGAAGATAATGAGATAGAATCAGAGGGCTATCAGCCTGGGAAAAGATTGCTATTAAGGAGTTGGAAGTTGAAGACTTAACCAAAGAGGGTGAGGGTAGATATAAGGGTTTGGAGAGTAAATGTCTTGTAGTTTTTATTTTTGTTGTTACTTTTTGGGATGTGTAAGTTTTCTGAATGAAGGTTGGTAAAGACAGACTTAATTGATAACAGATGAAAATTATAAAGGAAAATTTAGTTATTAGTAGTTGGGATGTTTTCCTATTGGATCATTTATGAATATAATGTTTTTTAGGTAATAAATTTACACCTCAGTTTGCTTTCTTTGGACTTGTAATAATCTGCCACTGGCCAAGTTTCACTGGTAGTAGAATTCATAGTATGGCAATACTTCTTTAATTCAGCTTCATAGGCAGTTTCAAAATTATTAACCCCAATAATAATTGGACACTTGATGAGAATATAAAGTAGCAATGTAGTATCTTTTAAGATATTGGTCCTTAGGCACAGTCTTAATATGGGTAGAGCTGTTTCAATGCTAGCAACTGGGTCTTCTAGTGCCCAAGATCCACTGTAATTTTCTTGGAAAAGTAAGAGGGAAAAGGAAGTCATGTGGGAACTATTAGCAACTAATTTGCTGTCATTCAGTCATTTATTTTGAAGGCATTAATTCAGAAATATTCTTTGAGCCCTTACTATGTGCTAGGAACTGCTCAGTTCAATTGCTGGAGGGTAAAAAAAAGATGAATAAAGAAAGGATCCCCACACTACCTCCAGATTTCTTATATAAACTTAGGTAGACAGTTACATTTTCTTGACCCAATAAGCCTGAAATTCTGTTCTTACATATTTTGACTCTTCTAATTAGCTCAGTCTTAATTGCTTTCTATTTTTAACTTTAAGGTTTGAGTGTGTGTGTGTGTGTGTGTGTGTGTGTGTGTGTGTATTTCCTTTGTTCTGTTTTCTCTAATTTCTGTTTGCCCAGAAGAGTCAGAAAAAAAACCACTTGTCTCTGTTGCTTCTAGGAAACATGGCATTAAACAGGATCAAATGGAAAAGTATTATTGCGACTGTGAGGATGTTAGCAAGTAGTTTTCCAGATCAGATGGAGATTTAGTTGAATGCTAAGTGGACAGTGTTAACTAATAGGATATTTGGGGACGATCAGATAATTTGGGTGGTCTCTTGAGATTTTATTTTTTGAAGTCAGTTATCAAAATGTCTTTATTAGACCTTTTTAGAAGGGGAGGGGTGCAGGTTGGTTAGGTTTTGAGCAACTTTGGTGTCTAGAGATACAATCTTGTATTTGGTATGAATACTTGTAATATGGGAAGATGTTATAATGGAGACTATTATGAAAAATCCTAATTTATTTGTTGAGTAAATGCAAATTTAAAGCATTTATGTCTTTTATGGTTAGTTTTGTAAAGAAAAACTTTCTTGAGTTTTTCTCAGAATATTTTGATAGAACTAATAGGTAGCTGGCTCATCATGCCATGTTGTTTTTTTGTGCTCATAGTTTAAAATTGTAATAAGGCTTGCTATGAAATACTGCTGTCTTCTGTGTCCTCCATGCTTTTCCAGCCTCCTCATCTCCTTCATACTGGTTTCTCTGTTTTCATTTGGTTAGTTCTCTAGTCACTAATTCAACTCTGAAGTTTCCCCTAATTGTTTAAAATTACACTCATGATGGTAAAACATATGAGCTAGTCTATTTCATTTCTTGAATACATGTCTCAGGAGCTTTCTGATTTGCTCCAATCTAGACTGGAGGTATCTCTTCTTGCTTCATAGGTATTGTGGAACTCAGTTCACTATTATTCTGGGAGAAATCCCTTTGCTTTTCACTTTAGTTGGATCTTTCCTAATCCTATGTCTTTTTCTTTCTTGTCTTATTCTCTTGGTTTACTCCATAGCTTTTAAAGAAAGTGTGCAATAAAAATTGTTTTGAGACTTTACAGGTGTGAACATGACTTTATTCTTCCCTCAATTATATGTTGGTTTGGTTGAATATAGAATTCCATGCTGTAAATCATTTTCCCCCAGAATTTTAAAAGCATTATTAGTCCATTGTTTTTTACCTTCCAGTGATGCTGTTATGAAGTGTGAGACCATTATGTTGTTGGTCCTTTGAATGAAGCCTATTTTCTCTCTGGAAGCTTGTAGGATCTTCCCTTTGTCTCTACTGTGCCTTGCTGTGGGTTTTTTTTCTTCTTTTTTTCTCTTGGACAGTTGATATACCCATTACTGGATATAATATCCTTTTGTTTTAGAAAATTTTCCTGAATTATTTTGTTGATGATTTCTTTACTTTTGTTTTCTCTTTTCTGTCTTTCTTGAACTCCTAGAGTCCTAATAATTAGATATTACGTATCCTAGGCTGGATCTTGTAACTTTTTTTTACTCTGACTTCCCATTTTTTTCTCTTATACTTTTTTAAAAGAAAATTTCCTTAATTTTATTTTCTATCCGGCAGTTTTTCATTTCTGCAATTATATATTTTTATTTCCAAGGCCTCAGTCTTGTTGTTTACTCCTTTCTTGATCATTTTCTCCCCTGAAATTAGGGCATCCTGTTCGTAATTCATGGATGAACTATCTTCTGTTGTTAACTTTCTGAAGATACTATGGTTTTGTTTTTTTCTTTCTTGGATAGTCTTTGTTTATTTCATCCTAGTTTTCTTTTATGGTTTGGTCTCTATTTTTTTCTTCTATTTGTTTTTTAATTAGATGCTTTCTTCATCTCTTTGGTCGTCCTTGATAGTCTGTTCACATGTAAGATTGAGGCACTAATAAAGTAGCAAACACTTATATAATGCTTAGAATGTATCAGATACTGTTCTGAGTGCTTCATCTGTTTTAACATATTTAATCCTTGTACTGACTTTAGGAGTTAGCTATTATAATATTCGATAGATGAGGAAACTGAGGCACACAATGTTTTAAGTAAAATGCCCAATGTAACACAGTAAGTGGCAGAGCTGGAATTTGAATCCAGCCATCTTAACTCTATAGTCCCTTCTTTTAACCTTTATGCTGTTCTGCCTGTTATTAAAATTAGAAGCTAATTGGAAATTTTGTGCTTGTGGGTGGGATTTGTCAAAGTAGTATTTCATGAGTGAGTTGTTTCTTTGTGGAACGTCTGATAAGGTCCTTTTCATGGGTTGAGTAGATTCATCACTGAAGAATCTGCAGCTCTTCTGACTAGAGGTTTCAGCCCAGCCGCTGTTGTTTTGGTTGCTGAGTAGTGAAAGATGTCTGGAGTTACTGGTCTACATATTTAACCACCCTCTCCCCTCCCCAAGATATAACTTCACCTAGTCCACCTGTGTTGATATCTTCCTGCCTGGAGACCCTCAGCTTTACCCTGTCCAGGGAATGAACCTCCAGTCTTCTGCTGTGGTGATAAATTGTAGGTTACCCAGTTGTGCAGATTCTGGCAGTGGTCTTAGCATATACCTATGACTCTTAATTTTGAGTTTCGGTTTTACTTGACTTTCAGTACCTCCCATTGCTGAGCCTTTTGAGGATTCTCTTATGTATTCATAAGTGTGATTCTCATTTTTCCAGTGACTCATTTTCCTTGTATTTGCTTTGAAATTTCTTGTAGTTTTCTCATTTCACATTCTCTTTGACCTAATTTTTATGCAGAAGCCAATAATCAAAAGAAATCTTTGTATTCTTACAGGGATACCTTTCCGTAAAGATGAATAAAATGTGTGTTTTGATGTGCCATTTGACATTTTCTGTCAGATCTGTTGAAATCTTTCTCAAATGTCTCCTTCTACCTTAGGCATTTAATGATGCTTCCAACCAGATATATCATCTTCTGAAAATCTTTCTTCTTACTTTGGAAATTTTTTCTTCTCTTTTGAGACTCTTTTACATCTTATGTTATTTGTATTTGAATGCTTTTCTTACACTCTGCCCTCCTCTGTACACCAGACTGTAACTTCTTTGAGGACCTTAACTGATACAGAATTGCTGAATAAAAGTTTATTACATTGTGTATTCTGTATATGTTTTGTCCTTTTGTATGTCTTTCTTATAAAACATTTTTAGAATATCAGCAGTGTATTAAATATTCAGACTAGCAAAGTAGGGAATTAATACAATAAGGCAAAAAAAGAGATTAAATTTAGATATAAAGAAGTTTGAGAATTGTTAGACCTTGATATTGTGAAAACTTTCAGCGTAGATTCCTAATTATAATGAAGTATACACCTGTCTTTCTGCCATTACACAAAAGAATGAATTATGTGATCTGTTAATGTTTTGGCCAGGCTTATGATTCTGTAACTTAGATGTCAGATATATTTGCTGTTGCTACATTCTTATAATATTTGTAGTTTAATGGGCTATAATGTTAAATGCTAGAATATTCTAAAATACTTGATAAGAATGCACTTTAGATAAAGTAAATATTTTAAATGTATTGGAGTAGCTAAATACATAAATAAGCCCACATTTGTATATTTCCTTTTAAAAACTGTTGATTTTCATATTTTATAAATTTTATTTTTACAAGTCAATGCTGTTAATTTTCTTTTCTCCTATTTAAAATGCTCAGAAGTAAACTATTGCAGGAATTGAAGTCTAAATTATATGCAGAAAGATTATTGCTTTAAAAATATTTCTCTAGAATTATATGTTAAGTAACTTGGGACATAATTTGTTTTTTTAAACGTATTAATATTTCTTTGAAAATAAAAGGAAGAGTATCATCTGCTTTTTTTTTTTTTTTTTTGATGGAGTTTCACTCTTGTTGCCTGGGCTGGAGTGCAATGGTGCGATCTCGGCTCACTGCAACCTCCACCTCTCAGGTTCAAGCGATTCTTCTACCTCAGCCCCACAAGTAGCTGGGATTACAGTCGTGTGCCACCACACCTGGCTAATTTTTTGTATTTTTAGTAGAGGCAGGGTTTCACCATGTTGACCAGGCTGGTCTTGAACTGCTGCTGACCTCAGGTGATCCGCCTACCTCAGCCTTCCAAAGTGCTGGGATTACAGGCGTGAGCCACCGAATATGTAAAAGTTGCTGGAGTCTGGAAAACATCAGTGGTCACTAGTATGTTCTTTTGCAGAGCTAAATCAGAACTTAGGAAACTGACTGTATTTGGTTCATTACCACAGTCAAACAAGCTGAAATGATTGTTAGATGTGGGTATTTGTTTTTATTTTCAAATTTTCTGTCACCTTACAAATAGTTTATTGGGAAGTGACTTAAGAAAACACACAGAAGCATTACTCTAAAAATTCCATTCTTTTGAAACCATATTATTTGAGTACAGCATATGTAGATGCTAAAAATTTTTTGTTTCTTCAGATTCATGGGATACATGTGGAAGAGATAAAGTTGGTGTTTATAGTTTGACTTGGTTAATTCTTGATGTTCATATCACTCTTCTTTCATAATTTCTTCATGAAAAATGTAGCCACATACAGATTTCTGTTCACTTGCAACACAGAATAATGTGAGTTCCATTTCAAACTAAACATCATCAAAAGTTTCTGAAAGTCTGGTTTATATTTTTTAGGTGCTATACGTGGATGACCTGCTTAGTTTTAATTTTTGGAGAAATACATTTTATAAAACATTTTCATCAGATTGCTAAAATTGTGAGTAATGGTAATGATACCATGATTATATTCTGGTTAATTTAATACCTTTCCTTTTTACAATATGTTTCTGTCTAAATATATATTTTTTAGTGTCATTACCTACTGAGTTTCTGTGAAAAGAATTTCCTTTGCCTGTTAAAACAATCGTTGAAATTAATGTTTTTACTGTTTTTTTCTTTGACAATTTTTTGAATTTTCTTTTTGAAGGTGTTAGCACTAGTTTCCAGAAGGTAAAGCACAGATATAGATGACTACTTAAAGCAAATGACCTTAGAAAATGCCCTTAAGATTAATGTTTAACATATAGTTTAATATGTATAGCTATTTTTATTTTAGAAGTGGGAAAGGATTGTTTTCCTGTAATGAAGTCCATCTTGTATTACTGAGTCAAGGAAACTATAATCAACATTTGGGTATGTTCACTTAAAGTTTTCTTTTTAATTTAAAACATTGCTTTTTAAATTAACTTTTAGGTTAAGGGGTACATGTGCAGGTTTATTACAAAGACAAACTCCTGTCATGGGGGTTTGTTGTACAGATTATTTTGTCATATGGTCACTTCTGAATGATAGAAAAATAAACCAATTATTACTGACTAGAGTATTACTTGCAGCTATAGATTCACAATTACAGGTTCCAAATTGTAAATTAAGAAACAATCTATATGAGAACTTATTTTTCATTTTAATGTATACTTCCTCTTACTAATTTCACCTTTTCAGGTTATTTAGTTCTTGCATGGTTTGTTTGATAAAGCTGCTGCTCCTTTTTTTTTTTTTAAAGCCCTGATACTAATGGTTTTATCTTTTCATTTTTATGATATACATTTAGGACTAAAAAAGCAAATAATATTTGAGTGCTTGTCTCTCTTACATACTTTAAGAGTAAAGAAAAGAGGAATTCTGGATATTTATTTGTGTTTTTCTCATCCCTCATCTCCCATGAATACATGACTTGATTTATCTTGATCAGCCTAGTAACTTGCTCCACATTTTTCCAAAAGTGCAAAGCAGTTTCAGCTAAAAATACACATATCAAAATGATCCAAAAGTTGTGGCCACAGCTCAAAAATGCTGATCAATTTTGAAAATCTAAATCAGCCTTGGCCCTGAAACCGAGGGAAGAACCTTTGTGGTAGGGGACAGATTTCCAAAAACTCACCACAGTCCTGTTCTTAGCTGGAGTTTGTGCTGATGTTGCCAGACAACTGAGGAATAGATGCAAAAAGCAGGAAGCATTATTGAATTGAGCTCTAGTGCCAATTTGGGAAAAGCAAATTAAAATGTAAAAGAATATTTTTCCACTCCTGGCATCTCAACATAAAATGGCAAAATACATGGTTGCTGAAAAAGTTACAGAAATTGCTAATTTTGCCAAAAAGTAAAAGCCAATTGCAAATTCTTTTTTGCATAAAAAATGCATAGACAGTTAGAAATTCTAATTTACAAATAAATATGTATACATTTAAGTTGGAGAGTATTTTGACATAAATGACTGTGTGTGTGCGGGCTTGTTTCAATATCTTATATTTTTCAGGTGCCACTTGAAGAATGGATGATGATGATTTTGGTGGTTTTGAGGTATGCACTGTTATTTACATTAGTTTGTTTTAACTTTGTGGGATTATAATGGAGTAAACTATTTTGAAAATGTATTATATTTCATTGGCATTCATGATATTTCCTTGATCATTTTAATGTAATTCTGGAGTAAAAAGATGAAATCAAGAAAAATAAAAAAAAACCCTCTAAAAATTAAAACTGATGTATTATTATAGAACATTTGGACTTGCCCATAGGAATGGTTTAAATTGAGTTAATTAAGTGCTACCAGTGTAAGCACTAAAGGAAAGATTTTAAAAATTGTCAGCAGATGATTTTATTGGGATACATGTCTGTTAGGAAATACTTGTGAGATGATGGATGAGTACTAAAGATCCTGTCACATATTTGCATGTTTATACCTGCAATGAGTTGATTTAGTATATTAAGTACATAGCCTTTTGGTGGTTATAAAGTTAATTAGTATGTTTGTATTGTTAGATTATTCTAGTAGGTTAGGAATGGATACTTTGTAAGTGGAAATTGTTAGCTGAAGGAGCACTGTCTTTTCCTTAATCCTTTTCAATGTGTGTTCATTTTATTGAAATATTTTATAACCCAGTTATTTTTATGGAGCCAGTATAGTCTTGCAGGAAAATCTCTGGATTAGGAGTCAGGAGGCCTGAGCTCAAGTCCTGGAACTACCATCAAGGGAATGCTGTGATTTTTTTTTTTTTTTTTAAAGAATTTTACCTACTTTGGATTTGGTAAAAAGGGAATTATAAAAACCAGGGATTGTAATTAATGACCTTAATAGGATGAATAAGATGTTAAGTATATATTCAGTGTTGTGAATTTCATGAAAGAATGGTGTGAGGTTTTTGTTAGGATCTTCTTCTCTTTTGCTGATCTTTAAAATCAGTCAATATGGAGTATAGACATACCTGTTTTCTCTATTTCATCTAAAACTGGTTTTTGTTTAAGCATGCTTGTATGCTTAATATTTTGGTTTTGTTGAGTGATTGAATCTTATTTATGTTACTGAAATGTAACATTTATTTTTGTTAAAATGCCTTCCATTTTGAGGAAAATGTATGTTTCAGATATCATCTGGCTTAGTTTATTGTTTAGAAGTTGTTATTTGAGGGTTACAGTCTGGCATAGTCTTCTTTATTTAAACCACACTTCATGTATTATTTAGGAAAAAAATACAGTGGATAGTGTTCTGTAGAATAACAGTATTACACTTTGTTATATTCATCAAATTGATTCCTTTCAGTACTGCATAGGTACAGGTTAACCAGTGTTACAATTTAATTGTAGTTATTAGGTTTTTCTTTCTTTCCATATCCTGCTGTATAAATAGGGAAGGTCTCTACCCTTGGTTATATAAAATATGTTCATTTTTCATAGTTGTAGAGAATAGCTACTGTATTCTGTGTCACTTAGCTCCTGTGTCAGATTACCCCTTTTAACTTCTCCTTAAGGGGTTGGCAACTCAGTGGAGAATACACATTGAAATTCTGGCTCTAATTTTTAGTAGAAAATTTGCTGTGACCTGGGCATCTAACAGACAGAAAACTCTGTGCTCTTACCTACAAACTCAGTATTCAGTAATTGTTCCAAAATAGGACGGCTTGTTAATTGAAAACTTGAGTTTTAGAAATTCTCTAAATATTGAAAGCTATTAACTCTAGGTAGTATATTATTCAAGACAGATGAATCCTATTTCTTTGAATTAATCTCTAATTGGGTCTTGTGCTAATTAATTAAAAGAATTTGGTGTCTATATTTTTTAAAGACAAATATTTTTCCTACATAGATGGTTAAATGTGGTAAGTTAAGTTAAAATACTTAAATATAAAGTTTACAAGTGAAAATGTGATTAAGAATATATAAAATAAAAATATTGACTAACAGTAGAGTTATCTGAATAAGGAAAAAATTTTTACTTGAAGTTAATAAGGCATGGGTACTGGGGGTGGTGAGTCATGATAGGAGTGGTAGGAGTTAAGACTGAAAAGCAGTTATTTAGAGGGAATATGAAAATGTCTGGTGTGTTATAGAAGATATGCCTATTGAACTGGAATGCTTGATCACTTAAATAGCATTTCTGCTTTTCACATCTTCTAAAATAATCTTGCCTTTGTCTTGTAGGCTGCGGAGACTTTTGATGGTGGAAGTGGTGAAACCCAAACAACATCTCCTGCTATTCCTTGGGCTGCCTTTCCTGCAGGTATTGGTATCCAGGAATTAGGGTTTTTTTTTTTTTTTTTCCCATGTAACATTTTTGGCAACTCTTTGAAACCCTATTTCTCAACTTTTTTACTTGTCCTTCACTGATCTGAAAAATGGAGTGATCCAGATTTACTCTTTAGGTTTTTAAAATAACAAATTGTGAATTACATAACACATTTTGTGATGGTGACTTGAGGCTGATTCTAAAGATGATATCAGGAACATTAAATGAAATTAAACTACAATTTACATTTTTAAATTTATCTTAGTTTTTGGAAGGTGAGGTGCCCAATAACTTTTTTAGGTTGTCCAGTTCATTAAAGATTCCTTTTTATAGTCCAAAAATAATTTATCATCTCCAACATATTTAAATTTAGAAGTGTGTTTGCAATAAAATTACTTAAAAATATTGAAAATTAAAATTAAAAATTAAATACAAAAATAAATCCATTATTGACAGATGTTTCTTGGAAGACCTCATGTTTAATATTAATTTATGTCAAAAGAATATTTTGAGCTTTCAGAGTTTTCTGTTAAATCTGTTAAAGTTGGGAGAAGATGAAAGTATTTTCTTCAACAGCTCTGCCTAGACCTCAAATGTTACAGTTATTTATTGTAAAATATTAATCAAGTGCTTATTATGCATTAGGCACTATGGGGATATAGAGATGTATGGAACATAGTCTAGTCCTTTACTTCAAGGGTAGATAAGGTAGGCACATGCATATTTGTAATATGAAATAGATTTGTCATTTGGGAAGAATGATGATTTTATCATCCATTTATTTAGCAAATTCTTATTTTCATACCTGATCTGAGTCAAGTAGTAACCTGGCAGCTGGAAATATATGTATATGTTTATACAGTTGATCTGTTCTCTGAAGGGTGCATATAATTTCAATAGGCAGATATGGGAGAATGAGGAAAGATTTTGAAGGGAGAAAGATAAATGGAACAAAAGTGTAAATGAGAGAAAGGTGATGGCATTGTTAGGATGCTCATTTTTATTTGAGGGCTGTGTGTTATTTCCTTTGCTGGGAATTGTCTTTATTGCTTCTCATTGCTGTTCATTCCTACCCCCTTATGATACTAACTCCTATGTTTTAAAAGTATTTCTTGCTTTAATTTTTTTTTCTGGGTCACCTTTCCAGCAAACCCTCCCATGTCTACGTGCACCTATTATCTGACTTTCATGTTGGACAGCAAGTTTTGTGGGTTAGCCACTATGTCTGTTTGTCCTGTTGTTATATCTTAAATGTGGGGCATAGTATCTGGCTTATAGTTGGCTCTCAATAAGTATTTGGAGGATGAATAAAGAATAAAGTGAACAAGGGAACTAGTAACTGAATGAATTAACAGATTAGCATGGCATTGGAAATGGATAGGGAGAGCTGGGATAGTAGATGATATTTATATAATGGCTCAGGATTTTTAGTGTGCTGTCATGCATTTGTTTATTGTAAAGTAGGCAGAGCAACTATACTCTTTCCATTGTGTGGATGACAAAATGGTTTTAAAAAGTTTTATCATTTGATACACATAACTGTGTTTAGGGATGAAGTGTATTCTTTCAGATTCTATTTCAGTTCTTTTTCAATAACTCAGGTTTTTTGAAAAGAGTTATCAGCAGGACTGTCTGGATGTGACAGTGAAGGAGGAGTTAAAATTGATTTTTGAGGTTTCAAGTCTTGGTTCTGAAAGAATGGTGTTACCATGAACAGAAATAGAGAATTTGAGACTTGGATTTGGACAGATGGAGCCTTAATGAATTAATGTTAGACATGTATAATATATTTAAGGAACCTGAAACTCAGAAGAAAGGTTAGGGCTGGAGTTCTTGGTTTAGGAGTTTTCCCATTGATAATGACACTTAAAGTTGTAGGAGATTGCTGGGAGGAAGAGTACATAGATAGAATAAGGCTGAGTAGATTAATTTGGATGTTTAAAGGTGTGGAATAGGAGGAGGTAAAAGAGATCTGAGAAGTAAGGGGATTGTGGGCTAGTGCTGCAACACAGAAATTAGAAGTAGAAAATTTCAAAGAAGCTATGGGCACTGATGCCAAAGGCATTAGGGAGGTCAATGAGATTGGAGGCTGAGAAAAAAACCATAGATGGTCATAAGTGGCTTTTGAGGAAATGATTTCAGTAGACTGGAAGTTTAAGGCAAATTGTACTTCTTTACTTTTTATGAAAGCATGAACAGAGTCTCTTTTCTTATAATAAAACTGTGGCAAAGTACTAAAAAATTGTATATTATGAGCAAATTATCTAATTCCTCTTCTCTAGGAGTGAATATTATATGTCACATCTGCACGTCTGTGTATTAGTGGGTCAAGTTCTCAAACCTTCGCGAAACTGGAATTAAAGGACAAATCATCTGGCACACACACACATGCACACACTCACACTCACACACTCTTTTTTCCCTCACTCCCTTTGAAAAATTAGATCTGAAGAATTAACTCTTTCTAGATTTTCTCAGTGACTTGCAGAAATGGAGAATAACAAACATGGCTAAGGGCTGAAGTTAAAGACATGGTGCATGTTTGCTCAGCCAAAGCTATCTTTTTCCTTTGTTAGTTGTCTTCCTCTGACTGGAGAAGTCTGCCTCTTGATTCAGGTAGCTGGAAGTTGTTTAGGTGAGTGTGATGTGAACAGCTTACGTAGCTAACAATGTAATCATTTCCACAGTAAAGACCTGAGAAGATAGGAACCCCTTAAGAGATCTAAGGCAGATTCTTTTCAGTTGAAGAAAAGACTAATTTTCTCCTTTTTTCCCACCTACCTGTATCTTAGCTGTCTATAATCCATATGGAAAATATTTTAAAAAGACATGATGATTAACCAAGCTTTACCACAGCTTAAAATCCAAGAAGAGCACTAAGAAACATTTGGTTTACATTTTTAAAGTTTTTTGGGGAAAATAAAAATCTTCATTCTTGGGGTTAGGATAAAGGATTTTGTTAAGTAAAGAATGAGGTGGGTTTGGTGAGCCTAGTGATTCTACTGCTTCAGGACAGGCCAGTAGGTGGAGGAGGATTTCATAATAGCAACTGGGATAATAATGTATTTCTTAAAGTGTCTGTATAGCCTGCAGTTCTGTCAATGGGTTGAGGTGCCTCAAGACATGCATCTTACTGTATGTTAGCATTATTTACATAGTGAACTCTTAAAATGCTAGCTTATAGGCAATGTTGATGAAATTAATGAATTGTCAGTAAGAATAAATGAAATGTGCATGCTGATGCTTTATACAAAGTATTATCTCTAGGCCTGTATCTCCTTAAGTTATGATATCTAACCTGTAAAATGTGTCTTTACACCCTTATTGTCATAGGAATTGCAGAATGTAAATACGAGATGAATGAATATGAAATTATCAAGCTCTTTTCCTAATTCCTTTACTCTCCATAAACATTTAGAAATTATTACTTTATTTTAGTGAAAGCTACCCAAGGAGAAGAACTGCCTTTCTTTAAGCATTTTCCTCTCTGTTTCATAGCCTAACCCTCCACATTGCCTTCCATGCTATTCTGCTTGAAGCCTGTAAGCCAAACTGTGATACACATAGTGTTCCCATTGTCTGTTCCTATATTTTTGTCATTGCTCCTGATTGTATTACTTACCTCATCTTCCATCCACTTACTTGAGTCTTATTTTTCTTTCAAGAAAAAGTATGGAGCTATCACTGAATTTGTTCTGCATCTCATTAACTGCTACTTCTTTTGAGTTTACCGTTCTTTTACTTCTGTACCAGTTGTTTGGTCCTTAGCATATGCTAATTTGTATTTTTAAAATTTGTGGTAAAACACATAAAACATAAAATTTACCATCTTAACTATTTTTAAGTGTACAGTTCAGTATTGTATATGTAAAACCGAAACTCCGTATCCAGCAAACAACTCCCCATTGCCCCCTTCCCTCAGCCTCTGGCGACTAGGATCCTATTTTCTATGAATTTGACTATTCTAGATACTTTATAAAGTAAAATCATACAGTATTTGTCATTTTGTAACTGGCTTATTTTACTTAGAATAATGTTCTCAAGGTTCATCCATGTGGTAGCATGTATCAGAATTTCCTTCCTTTTTAAGCCTGAATAATATTCCATTGCCTATATAGACCACATTTTGTTTATCTGTTCATTTGTTTATGGACACTGGGTTGCTTCTACCTTTGACTATTGCAAATAATGCTGCTATAAACATGGGTGTCTAATTTGTATTTTTAAATATTTTATAAGTATGACTCCCATCTCTTTATGTCTATGTTAGTCTGAGATTTGGAGGGTAGTGACTGTGTTTTAAACCTGTTGAATCCTTGGTGTCTAGCATAGCACTGTGCCTTTTTAATAAACAATGTGTAGTAATTATTTCTTGATGAGTAGAGCAGATTTACTTTGTTAACTCTTCTTGATTATTTTTAATTCTTTGGGGATAATTAGTCTTTCTATCATAAGTTGAAAGAAGGCAAAACCAAACTTGCCTTCAAAAATATATTAATCTCAGAAATCTTAGCTAATTACTCAAAGGCAGCTAAAAAGCTGTTTTTTTTTTTTGGTGCTCAATTAACTTTCCTGGTCATTCTCAATGCAAACATATGACCTGGAAATCATGATTAACAAGAGCAGTCACAGATTTTCTGAAAGAAACAACAGCTATTTTGGTGACCTTTTCTCATCTCTTCCCTGGTCCTGCTGTATGCCAGTAGGTAACAATAGAGACTAGACTAAATTTTAGTTTAATATATTACAGGTCTAGAAGGAATAAGAGTAGTATGTAGTTCTTTTGCCTTCTTTTTTTCTAACTTACTTTTCTAAACATTTGTTTCCAAAGAAAAATCATCTCCAACTTTGCAGAGCATCTAACATAAGAAAGTTTTTGAGTTGGCTACTCATAGCACTGTATTTTATAAAAAAATTAATAATTTTTTTTGGCTAAGAAATCTCTTTTAAAAGAAATTATTCACAAGTAACTGTCTTTTATAAATGTTCATAAGGCTAGTAATGCTCTACTTTTTAGTAAACTAATAAGAGCAGAGACTTTTCAAAATGAATGGCTATCTTCTTATATATAAATATGTATGTATATATGTATATATATGTGTATAAGAATATAGGCACATATATATATATGTCTGTCTGTGTGTGTGTGTGTGTGTGTGTGTGTGTGTGTGTATTCTGATTTCTTCCTTTTCCCCCTCCAATGTAAATTCTTTACCTGTACTGATTTGAAAGGACTGTATCATGACTTGACCTTGCAATTTCTAAGAAGTTAGTCTTAGTTTGGTATTACTACATGTATTTTATTTTATTTTCTCATTGTAGCGGACTCAAAGTTTCAGAATCCATGGAGTTTATTTAAATTAATTCTTTGGTTTGTTTGTTCATTTGTTTATTCATTCACTCACTTAGCATATATTTGAAAATTTACTGTGTTTCAGACACCAAATGCCATGACCCGTGCACCTTATTTCATTTTCAGTGATGCCATATAAAGGCTGTCATCTAAAAGGACAGGATGTCTCATGAAATGTGTTGTTAATATTGGCAAACACTTTCATCAGTAACTTTAAGTTCAAATCTTTGATAGCAGCTACATGAAAAGAATATTATGTCAGAAAGTGTTGTCATGTTGCCATTGTGTACAATGTGGGTGGTGCTGTTTTAGAGGCAAAGAACTGTTCACTTTTTATGTTTAACTGTATAAATATAAATTGTCTAGAAGGCGAAGTGGGAGGCAAAACCTTGAATAGTGTCCTTTCTAATATGTTTCTAAGTTCCTTGTAGCACTACACAGACCACATTAGAATGCATTGACCATCAAAGGGAAAAACAAGCTATCCAGATAGATACTTTAATCCAAATTAGCTCCTTCCAAACAGCTTATATAGAGGGCAAACTAAACTGTCACAAGCTGACCCTTTAGAAGGAATAATGGGAATTGGACCAGCAGATGTTGAACCAAATAAGTTAGATGTGGTTCACTTTGCATCTGGAGCTATTTGCATACAAAGCCAACAGGAAAGTTCAAACATTTTTCTCAAGACATTGGCAGAGAGAAACCTGGAAGACAGATGCCTTTTGGATTTCATGGTTCAATTTTTCCATTCTCCATTCTGTCCAGGAAAACCTAGGACAACAGATCGGTCATTTTATTAATATCCCATTACTCTCCTTACTAACCCTGTTTTTCCAGTAGAATCTGTGTTACATATCTATGAGAGCTCAGAACCTGAGTCCACAAATTTTTGTTTGAGGAAAAATTGTCTCAATATTTTTCTTCAGATTAATCTGTAGTTTGTACCTAGTAATAATGAATGTTAATCAAATTCATTTGTCTGATTTATATTTGAGGTAAAATTTGAAGGTGACTTATTACATAGTCACATATGTGCATTATGGTAGGCAGTATAGGTAATGCTTAAAAACTTTCCGTCTGTCTTTGTATTTACATTAGACATTTTTGTCAGGACATAAACCAGATTTCTGTTGAAGTCTAATAATTTTGTAGTGCCTTTACACAGATTATTTGAATAGAAATTTGTCACATATCTTCTTTTTGCTACATCTTGTATTTTCTGTTTAACTCCTAGGTTATTAACTCACCTTCTTTTACTCTGGAGCCAGTTTTTAAAAATGACGCCTAAAATGATAGCTTCTATAAAGCTGTGAATTATTACTGTACATATAAATACTAGTCTTGATGTGGGTTTTCAGTAATTTATTGCAGTTCATGTTTTTATTAATGCATATGATAGGAAGTATACAGTGATATTTGCTATGCTTCTGAAGATTAGGTTTATTATAGTGTGGATTAGAGTCAAATATCCGTGTTGTGGAGTGAGGATTTCTGTCTTTGCCTTCAGCTAACTATGTAACTTCTGTGAATCTCAATTAGCAAATCTATAAATTGAAAGACTAGATGATATCTAAACAATTCTTTGAGATTTTGAATTCTCAGTTTAGTATTTTATTTTCTGGTCATAGTGTCTGTAACATGAATAGCTTTTACTAGGTGAATTATGGTGCCTGGTTTAACTGTGTGGTATAACTGACAGTACTAATCTAATAAATTACGGTGGTTCTAAAAACATAGAACACAAATATTAATGTGAAGAACTATAATTCTTAAGAGAAACCTTGTCTTTTTCGGTATCTTTTAACAATCAATTACTGTTCACATTGCTTTTTCTAACAGTATTTTATGGTACCTGCTTTATCTGTTCTATCTGAATCTGAATTTGCTTTTTAAGGACTGTGGTGTGCATTTTAGGATATTTTAGGATATATTTAGAGAAAAGTAAAATAGTTTGAAAATAGTGCTATAGGGATTTTCTGATACTGCTAAAAAATGAAGGTTTGGCAATGAGTATTTTTTCTATAATATGAAGATAGTGCTCTGACTCTTTATAATCCTAAGTTAGCGCCCCCCGCCCCACCAAAAAAAACCACTGGAAATAAAACAAAATTTAGATTCCATTTAGCTCAGAAACAGTAGGAATCATTGCCTACCATTCTTATACCAGTATATACAATTCTCATCAGCTATCCATCCTGAATTACATTTTTTGGCCTCAGAAAAGATACTTTTTATTGTTTTTGAGAGACACACGTATGTACATATATATATATAGTATAAGGGTATGAAAGAAAAGGGAAATAATGCAAAAGATATACAGTGAAAAATTTTTCTTTTATCTTAGTTCTCTAGTCTCACTTCTGATGCTATAGTTTTATAAATTCTTTTTTAACCATCCCAATATCTTCCAGGCATGTACAATTGTGTCGTGTCTATTTTTTTAAATAGAGATGACAGTGTATTATATATACATAGTAATACTCCTTGCTTTTTTTTCCACAATAATTTGGAGACCTTTCTGTAGAAGTACTTATAGATTTTCCAAATTCATTTTAGTGGTCGCATAGTACTGTTTTTTAAGGATATATTATTATTAATGTAACTAGTTATTTTCACTTCAGTTCTTGCCGTTACAAACAGACCTGTAGTGAATATTCTTGTATTTTCAGCAAAGCTATTTTAATTAGGATGATAATGTATATTGTTTCTGTGACTTGAAAGATTATTTAAAATTAACAGTTTACTTACTAATTTTACTAATATAAACATAGAACAAGACATGCTCTTTGACTCTGAACAGTGTCAAAATTTATATTTGAGGTCATATATACCTAATTAATATATATACCCAATTAATATATTAATTATATTATATGTTATATAAATTATTTATTATATATAATTATATAATTATATATATTATTTATTATATATAATTATATATTACTATATAATTATATATAATTATATTATTAATATATAATTATATATAATTATATAGTAATATATAATTATATTATTAATATATAATTATATATAATTATATAGTAATATATAATTATATATAATTATATATAATTATTATAATTATATATAATTATATTATATATAATTATTATAATTATATATAATTATATATAATTATTATATATAATTATATATAATTAATATATACCCAATCTTAATTATATAATACTTAATTATATGATTAATAATTTAATTATTAATTATTAATTAAAAATTAAAAATTAAAAATAATTAATAATAATAACTTTTTGAGACAGAGTCTTGCTCTGTTGCCCAGGCTGCAGTGCACTGGCACAATCTTGGCTCACTGCAACCTCTGCCTCACGGGTTCAAGAGCTTTTCCTGCCTCAGCCTCCTGAGTAGCTGGGATTACAGGTGTGTGCCACCATGCCCAGCTAATGTTTTGTAGTTTTAGTAGAGATGGGGTTTCACCATGTCAGCCAGGATAGTCTCCATCTCCTGACCTCGTGATCTGCCCACCTCGGCTTCCCAAAGTGCTAGGATTACAGGCGTGAGCCACTGTGCCCAGCTGGATTATATTTATATAATAGAACACCATACACCTGGAAAATTAACAAACTATAGCTACATATTAACAACATGGAAGAATCTCATGACCATCTGTACTGTTCTCAGAGTACCTTTAAGAGATCAGTAGGAAGCCTTAAACTGACAGACTGTTCTATAATGTTAGATTCTATAACACCACATTTTCATAGAATCTGTGAAGTCTAGAATATCAGTCTCCCCTTTGGTTCTGGAATTCTTCTTGTTCGTTAGAATGAGGGCTCCATTATTTTGGCCACAGAGCTATATCCAGGACTGCTTCAGAGCAAGCCCCGTGTCTGAATCTTCAGAGGGTAGAAGTCATCATCCTGTTTACTCAGTAGGGATGGCATGGGGAAGGGAGGAGGGAGTAGATTTTACCTAAAATCTACTGTGGATGAATAGTGCAATATGAGACTAAGAAAAATTTTTGAATCTGACCTCAAGTGTCTGGTATGGAGGTCACAGACTAAGACTGGACCTGAATCAAACAGAATAACCTCCATCACTCACTTCCTCCCTCCCTTTACCCCTGAGATTCTTGTATTGGACTCTTGGGCCTAGCTGTAGCTGGAAACAGTAAATGCTTTTGCTGTATGAATTTTCAAGTGGCCAGACAGGGTTGAGGGACCCACAGGAACATGAGACTTACAGGACAAGTACAACCAGAGGTTCTGACAGATATGCCCTATGCACATTTGGCTTGATGTCTCTGTACTGATGCCCGTAATGAATACTGTTGTTGCTAATGTGTATTTTAAATGAACTTATACTTTGTATTTACTCAGGTTGAGTTTTCATGTATTTCCTCCCTCTTTTTAAAGGTTGGGCATTTGAGCTTCTTAAACGGTGTCTCTAATTCTTGGTGGTATTCTCCTCTGTATTTGTGGTACTTCCTCTTTGTGGCAGGCGGAGTGGGAGGGTACCATGATTTCTTGAGATTCTGGAATCTTCCAACCCCTTTTTGTGCCCATTCTCTCCTTGTGATTATCTATTCCATATCCCACCCATCAGCAATTTCTGTAGTTTCTAAGTTCATTCAAACCAGGGATGTTTTCAGTTCTCTCTACTTCCTTGGTCACTATCTCAGTCAAAAGCCACCATCATATCTTTCTTAGATGACTTAAGCACCTTTTTTTCCTGCATCCACTCTCAGTGTCTGCTCCCCCCAACCAACCCTGCCACCCATGACTCCATTATTTTAAGTGGCACCAGAGAGGGCTGGGACACAGTGAATGATCAGTAAATGTTACCTGTTTGTGACATTTGATTTTAAAGTTTAGAAATGTGTAGGATTTATGTTTTCATTTGTTGTGGATTCCTGAATATCAATAAAACATGATTTGATTATAATTTTGGAGGTTGTAATTTTGACTTATGATATTCCTCTGAATATTTTGTTGTAATTCCTTTGTTGGGCACTAAAGATTTGTACCTGTTATTAGGAATCTCCTGAATAAATTTTACAAACTAATTGCAGTTATAAAATCCTCCATGATTTGGGTATTGCTGTTGTGCCTAATCAAAGTTTTTTTTAGTCCCAATTCTGATTTTTGTATTAATTTACATGATTATATTGGCTTGCAGCTAGTATGCATTAATTTTTTTCCTTATTAAAGCATTGCTGAGGTGATAATCATTTTTAATAATGATTTAATTAATAAAAATGTTTAATAATGATTTAATAATTTCATTAATAATGAAAATTTCCTACATTTACATTAAAACGGAAAATCTTCTAGATTTGTTTTTTTTGGAGTGACTGTGTTAAAGGCTAGTTTTATTGTGGACCTCCTCAGATAGATTGTTTTAGTTAATGGACCTTCCCAAGTAATTTTAGAATAAATCACAGAGACTGCCTAAAGTACTTAGAACACAAAGATGTTTAGAGATATACTTTAGAACTGTGAATCAATAGGGAAGGTATTACTTAAACTTAATCCTATAGAAAGTTTGCTAAAGATATGAAGAGTTTGATCATTTTGTATCTGTCAAGTCTGAGGCCATAGAAAAGTGGATAAAAGGTGATTTAGCTGGTTTGGAGGAAACTTTAATTCAATGTGGCTGACAATACAGCGTTGACAAAATACTGTAATCAAATATTACACACAATTTGATTATTAAGAAATGCTTTAGTTATGTAAATCAACTGTTACTTTTCTTCATCTCTTAAAAATTTACGAACACAATGTTAATTTTATTTCAAGGAAACATTTGCTGATAGAATTGTACATTAAATGTGCGAATAAACATTTACTCAACTCATCAATCCATTAGGTTCCTAAAGGAGCAACCTTAAAGTAATTTCAACCCTTGGTCTTATAATCTAAACACAAGTATTTTGCGTCGATGGAATATGTTTGATTAAATTTGTGAAATTTACTTCTCCTGATTTTTTAAAAGACAAACTAGATTCTCATTGGTTATGATCCTGCTTGACGTTAGGAGGTAAGACTGTTTACGTTCAACCTTCTATTGTTTGATTTCTCCCCCATTCAACAAATTATTGTATATCAAGCACAGGTGAGACAATGGGGAACAAACAAGACAAACAAGATGTTTGCCTTCCTGGCTTTTGCAAACTAGTAAGGTACACCGAAATTAAATAATTATTCAGATTCTTACTTAATTATGACTAGGATACACTTTTAAGGGGAGATATGGAGTGCCAGCATAGCGTGTAATAAAGGGATAGAGAGAGTGAGGTAGGTACCGCATTATAGCTAGGAAGAATATCAGATACAGGCAGTGTTTGAGTTCAACTCAGGATTAGCAAGGCAAACGCCTATGATGTTAAGGGAGGCAGGGCTTACAAAAAGCTTTACAGCAGAGACAGAGGGAAACAGAGAGCATGTTTTCAAGTGTTAACTTTTGGCAATGTAGATACACTGTCAATTTTATATTTGTTTTCTGATTAATTTCTCTTTCATGATCATTATTTTCTATTGTCTATTTTATTGTTTATTATATTTTTCCTAATTTTGTAAATTTTATGCTTATCTTACTACTTTTAACCTTTCTTTTCAGACAGAAGTATTCCAGGCTATGATTTTCCCTCTGATTACTGCTTTAACTGTATCTTGCCAATTTTATTTTTAAATTACAATTTTCAGATTAAGTGATACTTGAATTTTTTAAAAAGTATTTCGTAATTTCCAAGTATGGGGCTTTTCCAGTTGTTTTTATTGTTATTGTTTTCTAATTTGATTGCTTTTTATTGTTATTGTTTTCTAATTTGATTGCTTTTTGGCCAAAGAAAGTTATTAGTTTGGAAGTTATGTACTCTGCTTCTTTTCTTTCCGTAGTATCCCTGGAAATTTTCATAAGCATTCTTAACTCACTAAAACCTGAAACTAATTAGTATCTTTAGCCTCCTCTTGAAAAATACAAAGAATGTGGAACATTTGAAATTTATTAATTTATTCTTTTGTTATTATGCTATTGTGTAGCATTTTAAATGTGTATATATATAAGTATTGTATATGCATATGAAATACATACTCAATACATAATATATGCTATATATTATATATAAATATAGATATTATATATATAAGTCCACAAGACATTATTATTAGCAGTATTATGCTTGTTTGGAAATACTTATTCTTGTTAGATAGATTCCTCTAGCTTTTAAATTGACAGTTATTTCTTTGGTCTGCACAACGTAGATATTACTCCGCCATCTTCTGATTTCCGTAATTGTTTTGGGAAGTTAGTTGATTCCATTAGTTGTTGTTCCATTGAAGATAATTGCTCTTTTCTTTCTGGATCACTTCATGATTTAACACTATGTAATTGTTCTGTAGTTTTACTGTGATATACTACATAAAGATACCTTATTTTCTTTGATTAGAATTTTTTGGGCTTCTGAATGTATGGATTGAATCTTTAGATTTAAGAAGCCCAAAAAGCTCAACAAATTAATTATGGGAAGTTTTATTACTTCTGAAAATTCTTGGCCGTTGTTTTTACCAATGTTGTTGTTGCTCCATTCTCTTTCTCCTTCTGGAACTCTAGTTAGTGTTAGTAAAGTCGCTTTTTTTTTTTTTTGAAAAAAAATTAAAAAACTCTCTCTACTATGTCCATTAACCTCTTTTTCACGTTTTGGCTGTTCTGCCATCTGAGTAATTTCAGATATGGCTTTTATTTCACTACTTCTTTATTGTCTAAGGTGATGTAAATCTGTCCATTGAATTTATAATTTCAATTTTCTTTCTTTCCTTCCTCCTTCTCTTTATTCATATATTCTGCTATTTGATGCCGTAATGCTCTCAAAAGTGAAAAACTATTCATGTGAAAAGGAAGCATATGGGGACCTTATGTGCTAGATTCTGATATTAGTGTGTTTCTACTGCTAAGACATTTGTACCTTTAATGCACTTTAGAGTATTGTATCATTATTGTAATATATGCTTATGGCCTAATTAGAAATGATGTCAACTGTGCTTGTATAAAAATTCTTTTTTTTTAAATTATACTTTAAGTTTTAGAGTACGTGTGCACAATGTGCAGGTTAGTTACATATGTATACATGTGCCATGTTGGTGTGCTGTACCCAGTAACTCGTCATTTAACATTAGGTATATCTCCAAATGCTATCCCTTCCCCCTCCCCCCACCCCACAACAGGCCCCTGTGTGTGATGTTCCCCTCCCTGTGCCCATGTGTTCTCATTGTTCAGTTCCCACCTATGAGTGAGAACATGCGGTGTTTGGTTTCTTGTCCTTCTGATAGTTTGCTGAGAATGATGGTTTCCAGCTTCATCCATGTCCCTACAAAGGACATGAACTCATCCTTTTTTATGGCTGCATAGTATTCCATGGTGTATATGTGCCACATTTTCTTAATCCAGTCTATCATTGCTGGACATTTGGGTTGGTTCCAAGTCTTTGCTATTGTGAATAGTGCCGCAGTAAACATACGTGTGCACATGTCTTTATAGCAGCATGATTTATAATCCTTTGGGTATATACCCAGTAATGGGATTGCTGGGTCAAATGGTATTTCTAGTTCTAGATCCCTGAGGAATTGCCACACTGACTTCCACAATGGTTGAACTAGTTTACAGTCCCACTAACAGTGTAAAAGTGTTCCTATTTCTCCACATCCTCTCCAGCACCTGTTGTTTCCTGACTTTTTAATGATTGCCATTCTAACTGGTGTGAGATGGTATCTCATTATGGTTTTGATTTGCATTTCTCTGATGGCCAGTGATGATGAGCATTTTTTCATGTGTCTTTTGGCTGCATAAATGTCTTCTTTTGAGAAGTGTCTGTTCATATCCTTCGCCCACTTTTTGATGGGGTTGTTTGTTTTTTTCTTGTAAATTTGTTTGAGTTCATTGTAGATTCTGGATATTAGCCCTTTGTCAGACGAGTAGATTGCAAAAATTTTCTCCCATTCTGTAGGTTGCCTGTTCACTCTGATGGTAGTTTCTTTTGCTGTGCAGAAACTCTTTAGTTTAATTAGATCCCATTTGTCAATTTTGGCTTTTGTTGCCATTGCTTTCGGTGTTTTTGACATGAAGTCCTTGCCCAGGCCTATGTCCTGAAGGGTATTGCCTAGGTTTTCTTCTAGGGTTTTTATGGTTTTAGGTCTAACATTTAAGTCTTTAATCCATCTTGAATTAATTTTTGTATAAGGTGTAAGGAAGGGATCCAGTTTCAGCTTTCTGCATATGGCTAGCTGGTTTTCCCGGCACCATTTATTAAACAGGGAATCGTTTCCCCATTTCTTGTTTTTCTCAGGTTTGTCAAAGATCGGATAGTTGTAGATATGCAGCATTATTTCTGAGGGCTCTGTTCTGTTCCATTGGTCTGTGTCTCTGTTTTGGTACCAGTACCATGGTGTTTTGGTTACTGTAGCCTTGGAGTGTAGTTTGAAGTCAGGTAGCATGATGCCTCCAGCTTTGTTCTTTAGGCTTAGGATTGACTTGGTGATGCAGGCTCTTTTTTGGTTCCACATGAACTTTAAAGTAGTTTTTTCCAGTTCTGTGAAGAAAGTCATTGGTACCTTGATGGGGATGGCATTGAATCTATAAATTACCTTGGGAAGTATGGCCATTTTCACGATATTGATTCTTCCTACTCATGAGCATGGAATGTTCTTCCATTTGTTTGTATCCTGTTTTATTTCATTAAGCAGTGGTTTGTAGCTCTCCTTGAAGAGGTCCTTCACGTCCCTTGCACGTTGGATTCCTGGGTATTTTATTCTCTTTGAAGCAATTGTGAATGGGAGTTCAGTCATGATTTGGCTCTCTGTTTGTCTGTTATTGGTGTATAAGAATGCTTGTGATTTTTGTACATTGATTTTGTATCCTGAGACTTTGCTGAGGTTGCCTATCAGCTTAAGGAGATTTTGGGCTGAGACGATGGAGTTTTGTAGGTATACAATCATGTCATCTGCAAACAGGGACAATTTGACTTCCCCTTTTCCTAATTGAATCCCCTTTATTTCCTTCTCCTGCCTGATTGCCCTGGCCAGAACTTCCAACACTATGTTGAATAGGAGTGGTGAGAGAGGGCATCCCCTTTGAAACCAACGAGAACAAAGACACAACATACCAGAATCTGTGGGACACATTCAAAGCAGTGTGTAGAGGGAAATTTATAGCACTAAATGCCCACGAGAGAAAGCAGGAAAGATCTAAAATTGACACCCTAACATCACAATTAAAAGATCTAGAGAAGCAAGAGCAAACACATTCAAAAGCTAGCAGAAGGCAAGAAATAACTAAGATCAGAGCAGAATTGAAGGCGATAGAGACACAAAAAACCCTTCAAAAAATCAATGAATCCAGGAGCTGGTTTTTTGAAAAGATCAACAAAATTGATAGACCTCTAGCAAGACTAATAAAGAAGAAAAGAGAGAAGAATCAAATAGATGCAATAAAAAATGATAAAGGGGATATCACCACCCATCCCACAGAAATACAAACTACCATCAGAGAATACTATAAAACACCTCTATGCAAATAAACTAGAAAATCTAGAAGAAATGGATAAATTCCTCGACACATACACCCTCCCAAGACTAAACCAGGAAGAAGTTGAATCTCTGAATAGACCAATAACAGGCTCTGAAATTGAGGCAGTAAGTAATAGCTTACCAACCAAAAAAAGTCCAGGACCAGATGGATTCATAGCCGAATTCTACCAGAGGTACAAGGAGGGGCTGATACCATTCCTTCTGAAACTATTCCAATCAATAGAAAACGAGGGAATCCTCCCTAACTCATTATATGAGGCCAGCATCATCCTGATACCAAAGTCTGGCAGAGACACAACAAAAAAAGAGAATTTTAGACCAATATCCCTGATGAACACCGATGCAAAAATCCTCAAGAAAATACTGGCAAACCAAATCCAGCAGCACATCAAAAAGCTTATCCACCATGATCAAGTGGGCTTCATCCCTGGGATGCAAGGCTGTTTCAACATATGCAAATCAATAAACGTAATCCAGCATATAAACAGAACCAAAAACAAAAACCACATGATTATCTCAATAGATGCCCAAAAGGCCTTTGACAAAATTCAACAACCCTTCATGCGAAAAACTCTCAATAAATTAGGTATTGATGGGACGTATCTCAAAATAATAAGAGCTATCTATGACAAACCCACAGCCAATATCATACTGAATGGACAAAAACTGGAAGCATTCCCTTTGAAAACTGGCACAAGACAGGGATGCCCTCTCTCACCACTCCTAAAAATTCTTTTTTTCTTAGATCCATGACCTATGTAAGTAATTTATGAATTTATATTCCTTGATTATTTTTAAAGACATTTGGCATCTTTATGTAATAGAATATTGTATGTATGTATGTTTGTGTGTGTATATTTAATCATGTAATATATATGATTTTCAGAATTTTTGAGTTATTTTTCTTTAAAAAGAAAGGGAATTATTATTGGTAATGATAGTACTGTTGAATAAACCTGATGTCATTTTGGATTCACTGGGTGTAAACCAAAGAGATATATTTGTTTTCTAGAATCTCCTACAGTAAAGTGAAATAAACAGGCAATCATACTTCACAAGTGCATGAGGAAAATAACTATTTTCTTTCTCTTAATGGGAAGGATATAAATTATATGAATGGTGGAAAATGTTTCACATTTTCCTGTTTCTATCATATACAGTGTGCAGTTCCCTGTGTAACTCATAAATTGATAAAGATCTTGGCTGAGGGGTAGATTGTAGTATTTGCCTTATTCAGATTGCTGAGTACTGTTAGGTTCTTGAGTCTGAACCAGCCTTTCAAGGTCTTGGGGCAAATGATTTTTTTCATTTTCATAAAAGGACAGTGATTTTTTTATGTTTGAGAGTATAGAAATTTAACTGGTCAAATTTACTTTAGAAAAACTGTTTATTGTTTTGCCCATTGTGAATATTAGTTAAGATTTTTGTAAGCTAACAAAAAAATCGAATGTTACAGAATCTGTGCTATAATCCCTGTGTTCATCTGTTGAAAATTATATGTATATTTTTAAAGGTTTATATACAGTTATGTGTGTAATTTAGAGAAATTTCAGCTGTTTGTATTAGGTATTAAATTTTTAATTATGTTTTGCTTACCTGCTAAGACTTACGGGAAATGAAATTTCAGAGATATGGTATCAGTTTTCCTAAAGGCTAATTGAAGCCATATTTCATAAGCTTATAACTTACAGTGATATAGTTACAAGTTTGGTAAGTAATGTTAAATATTTCTCTGTAAGATCACGCAGAGTAGATGTTAAAATTAACAAATGTCTGAGAACTGAAAAAGCCTGGGTTCAAATATATTTTTATAACAATAACCCCAAAACTGACCTTCTTCATAGTATTGAACATTTTAGAGATTTATAAATGACATTGTCACAAAGGGAATTTCTAATACTCATCATGAATTCTATAGGTATTACCTCAATTAAATTACAGTTTGGGTTTTTTCTTTGATGAGGATAATAAATTTTTGGTATGTCAGATGTTCTTTATTTTAAAATTATATTGACTTTTAGCTAATTCAGTTATTTAACTTTTAGCAAAAACTGAATACAACTGCATTTGGTAAGTACCATTATAGGTTGAACATCCCAAATCCAAAAATCCAAACTGTGAAATGCTCCAAAATCCAAAACTTACATGATGCTGAAAGCAAATGCTTATTAGAGAATTTTGGATTTGGGACTGTCAAATTTGGGATGGTAAATATTCTGAAATCTGAATACTTCTGGTCTCAAGCATTTTGAGTAAGGAGTACTCAACCTGTAGTCAATTTTTTTCTATTTCTTGCATCAACCCTCCTCCTTTTTTTCACTTTGATCAAGTAGGTCAGATTTAACATCTCATCTGGGCTATTATAATACTAATTTAACTGGTTTCTTTGCCTTGTAATTCATTCTATACATGGTTTCCAAAATAATTTTTATGTAGTCATCTTTACATAGTAGTTAGTTTAGAACTACCCTAAGTTCTTTTGTCTCTCTTTCAAGGGCCTTTGTGATCTGGTAGTAGCCAGACTGTAGACTTTTCATTCACTGTTATCCTTGTCATACTAGTGGCCCAGTGAAACTGAAAATTACTTTGTACCTCCCGGCACATATTTGCAATTTGTTCCTACTTCTGGTTCTTTGTTCTGGTTGTGCTATTCAGCTAAAACATTTTCTCCATCTCCGCATGTTCAGATCACACTCTTCCTTCATAGCCCAGTTTAAATGGCTCTTTCTCTACTGAGCTTTTCTGTCAGTCCTCTAGCCTGCCTAATCCCAAATTTTGAAGTGACTGTTCTTTTTCATTAATTACTGTTTAGTTTCGTCTGTGGCATTTTATACTGTTAGCTAGTCTCTTTTTCATTGTCAGTCATGACACTGCATACCCCTGGTTCTTTCCTACTATTCTGATCTTCCCTTTTGACTTCTTTACTTATCTTCTCTCTCCCTTCCTCTTAACAATTGTTTTTAGGGTTTTGTCCTTGATCCTTTTATATTTTCACTTCGATGAAATCTTTTAATTGAAGATATCCAGATTTATGCCATCATTCTTGACCCTTCTTTGGAGCCTTCCTGCCTTGATCAATATGTAACTTAAAGTCAGCATCTCTAAAACATATCTCCCCTTTTACTGTTCCACACTTGAACTCTTATTTCTTTTCGCACTTAATAAAATCACTGTTCATCTAGGAGCATAAGCCAGATAACTACCTGTATAAGTCTTTCTCAAGTCTTTTTGTTTATTCAGTATAGTTAGGACTGGAGTGTCTGTAATCATCATGTTCCTTTTGAACTCTTTACTTTTCAATTATATTGAAGTACTTGCTGTTCCCTAAACACATCCTGTGGTTTCATGACTCTGTAGCTTTTAATATGCTGTTCTCTTTGCCTGGAAAGTCCTAGTAAGAATTATACAGACTTGGATATGAATCCTGGCTTCACCATTAACAGCTATGTAACCTTGGTCAACTTAATTAGCCTTTCAAGTACCTGTTTCTTTATTTGTAAAATGGTAATAATATATACTTTAAAAAAGTATTGTGAAAATCAAGTGTGAATATGCACATATACATGCATACATATTATATAACTTATATACAGGTATATTAATATGTACAATAGTTAATTATGCATATACGATTACAATGATAATATATACTATTAAAGATTAAATGTGTATATATGCTTGATATGGTGCTGTTTAAATACTCATTTTCCTCTTTTTCTTACCTTTCCTCTCTTGCAAGCTCTGTGTCATATATTAAGCTTACCTTAGGATCATTAGTTTTGTGAAGTCTTTTTTTTTTAAATATGATGTAATCCTTTTCTTCACTGTACTTGTATTTTAATCTTCCAAATCTTTTATGTGATATAAAAGTTTGTCTCTGTATCTTTTCTAGAATGTGAGCTTTAGGATTGGGAAACTGTCTTGTTTATATTTGTATCCTCTTTAATAAAACTTTGAAATAGCATCTTATGAGACCCCTCAAGTTAAGTACAGAAGTCATGCACGTATAAGTATATAGACTTTCCTAGGAGAGAAGTTCATAACTTCTTTTAGATTCTCAGAGCAATCTATTCTTAAGGTGAAGACTTACTGGCCTAGATTTTGATGCACAAAACAAATATTCCACTGAACTAAACCATGCATTTCCTGACCCTGGGAAGGGAGGCACCAGCTCCTTTCTGGTTCTGAATCACTTTGGTGGGAGAGTAAATGGAAAGCTGCTGATCCCACTCCTCACTTTCCTGACTCAACTTTTGGTCCTCCAGCTCTTTCAATTATGATTTTGTAATTAGAAATTTCCCTATATTAAATCTTTCCACTTGAAATTTCTAGGGAAGTTTGTCTATTCCACTAAATCCTTTTTTTTTTGTACTAGCACATTATAAGTTTTGGTTGAATTAATAGAATATTACATGAAAAAATGCTAGAAACTTTATTTTTCTTTCTGTAAAGCATATTCTCATGGTGCTGGACAGATTAAAAAACAATATATTTTCTTTGTAATATCTCTGTGTATATATACGATGCAGTGTTCATACACTTTTGTTTATGCAGTCGGGTGTGGTCTAAAATATGATAACATCATATCTACTATTTTAGATATAGCTCATATTTATCTGCCTCCTTCATTTGAGTAGTTGAGAATATAAACAGAGGAAATGGAATTAAATCTCCAAATGTATTTGATTCTTTTTAAAAATTTGTCTCAAAGGCACTCTGATATGAGCAGAGTGTCACCTTTTAAAAAGTCAGTGTACAGACTAGAACAGAAAGTACACAATTCTTTTCTCCTGTATTTGATCTATTTAAACTAGCAGTCATGCTTGTATTTTGATAATACTATAAGATTTTAGTAGAACTTTTTAATAATCTTATACAGTTGAATAAATCTTTTATGTTTTATATGTGAAGAGAAAAAATTATTTTTGTATATTACTTTCAAATTCTTCTACTCTTGTAACTATTTCTTATAGGTCTTTCACTTTTTTTTCCTGTATACATCTCTGATGTTTGGATTTACCATCTGAGTGTGTTTTATGGTTTAATTCAGTCTGAAATACTGCATTTACAACATGACACTAGCTGTAAAAACATTCTGTCTGTGAGGTAATAACTGATCTTACTGTAGTTGTCATTTCTGTTGAATGAGTAATATATAATATAGAATTCTTTTTATAGTCTATATGTCTATAATGGTGATGGATTAGATCTTGGATTAGAAGAACATATAGGTAAATGATTTGTATACCTTTGTAAATACCCTTCTATTAAAGATAATTGCTAATTAATGATTAGTGAGTTACTAAACCTTTTATTGAGATATACTGTGCAGCCTGATGCAGTGGCTCATACTTGTAATCTCAGCACTTTGGGAGGCTGAGGCAAGAAGATCACTTGGGGCCAGGAGCTCAAGACCAACCGGTGCAACATAGTGAGACCGCGTTTCTTTAAAAAAAAAAAAAAAGCCAGGTATGGTGGCATGCATCTGTAGTCCCAGCTACTTTTAAGTCTGAGGTGAGATGATCACTTGAGCTCAGGAGTTGGAGACTGCAGTCAGCCATGATTGTACCATTTTATTCTGTCTTTGGTGACAGAATGAGATTCTGTCTAAAAAAATAAATAAATAAAAAGATATCCTATGCAATATGGCTTTCTGTTTGAGACTTGTACTGTCCATTTTTTTCCATCTCTGTATGTCTTCATTTATCAATTACTTTTTCTAGAAAGTGTTTGAAGCATTGATATTTGGCAGTAGTCTATTTGGTCTTAATGCTATTTAGTCTTAATAAATTTGGAAGTTTTTATTCATTAAGCAATTTTAGGAAAGATTTCAGTATCATTGTTGTATGGACATGGTATTTGTATCAGTCATGGTTCAACCAGAGAAGCAGACCCAGTAGGAGATACATGTTATAAATAGTTAGCTTACATGAGTGTGGAGCTGACTAGACAAGTCTGAAATTCATAGGCTGTTCCATCAGGAAGGGCGGGTTAGAACCCATAGGCACAGGTTGAAACTGCAGTCCACACACAGAATTTCTCCTTTACTAGGGAAGTCTCAACTCTGCTTTTTAAGACCCTTCAAATGATTGAATCAGGCCATAATTATCTAGGGTAATCTCTTACTTAAAGTAAACTTATTATGGACTTTAATCACATACAAAATACCTTCACAGCAACATCTAGATTAGTGTTTCATTACTAGCTTATCCAAGTTGACATTTCAAAAGGCTATCACAGTATTCTTATTTTCTTTTGTGTATGTGTATGTTTCTCTGAATCTATTTAAGTATAGGTTTTGCTATAATAATTATTATTTTTCCTTAGTCTGCCATTAGCAACAGTGTTGTTAGAGTAGTGTATAGAAAGTAGCTGACATAATTAAAAGGGAATGATTTTAACCCAGTCTTTTGATCTTGTTTCTGTTTTTGCAGTTTTGTAAGTTTTCAGAAACTTGCTGACCATTGTTGCTGAAAGGACATACTTTTTTGGTTTGACTTATCCCATAGTACCTTGGATTTAATGTTAACAGTGCGAAAATCTGTTTGAATATTTCTCCTATTTCTCTTATCTGTGCATGTATAGAAAAGACTTGTAAACTGTTGAATTGAAATATTGATTGAAAAGATATTTTAAAAGATAAAGGAGCCTTCTGAATATCATAACTTAAAGGTAGAAATGTACATATATCTCAGGTAAAAGACAAAAAGGATAACTAAAAGAATGAAGATGAACTTTACTCAGAATATTTACAATGAATAAAATACAGCCTCACGTACTACCGTTAAGTTGGTAATGCGTTTTATTTTTCTTACCTTCGATAATTTCCACCATCCTACCAATACAAAACATTTTTTTACTCCAAGTTAAATCTAATTAAGATGATTTAAGGAGCATTGGGGGATAATGATGCTATTTATTATAGAAGCTGACTACTCTGTGTGCTTTTGCATAACCACAGCTTAGCTACCACTTATAAGTGAGAACATGTAGTATTTGTTCTTTTGTTCCTGACTTACTTCACTTAGATAATGGCCTCCAGTTCCATCCAAGTTGTTGCAAAAGACAATATTTCATTCTTTTATATGGCTGAGTGGTATTCCATGGTGTATATATACCACATTTTCTTTATGCACTTGTTGGTTGATAGGCACTTAGATTGATTCTTTATCTTTGCATTTGTGAATTGTGCTGTGATAAACATACACTTGCAGATGTCTTTTTGATATAATGATTCCTTTTCATTTGGGTAGATATCCTCTAGTGTGATTGCTGGATCAAATGGTAGCTCTACTCTTAGTTCCTTGAGAAAGCTCCATACTATTTTCATAAAGGTAGTTTAATGAGGTTCAATTTATTTATTTTTGTTTTTACTGCATTTGCATTTGGGATCTTAGTCATAAATTCTCTGCCTAGGCCAATGTCCAGAAGCATTTTTCTTAGGTTTTCTCCTAGAATTTTTATGGTTTCAGGTCTTAGATTTAAGTCTTTAATACATCTTGGGTTAGTTTTTACATATGGTGAGAGATAGCGATCCCGTTTTATTCTTCTACATGTGGTTATCCAATTTTCCCAGTACTATTTATTTAATAGTATGGTGTCCTTTCCCAAATTTATATTTTTATCTGCTTTGTTAAAGATCAGTTGGTTGTAGGTATTTGGCTGTATTTCTAGGTTCTCCATTCTGTTCTATTGGCCTATGTGTCTACTTTTGTACCAGTTCCATGCTGTTTTGGTTACTATAGCCTTGTAGTATAATTTGAAGTCAGGTAATGTGATACCTTCAGATTTTTCCCTTTTGCTTAGGATTTGTTTCTTTGAGCTTTTTTTTTGGTCCCATATGAATTTTAGGATTTTTTTTTTTTTTTAGTTCTGTGAAAAATGATGTTGGTATTTTGATAGGAATTGCATTATATCTGTAGATTCCTTTGGGGAGCATGGTCATTTTCATAATATTGATTCTTCCTATCCATGAATATGGTATGTTTTTCCATTTGCTTGTATCATCTATGATTTCTTTCATCAGTCTTTTGTTGTTCCTGTGTAGATGTTTCATTTCCTTGGTTAAGTATATTCTTAGGTATTTTATTTATTTTGCAGCTGTTGTAAATGGGATTGAGTTCTTGATTTGATTCTTAGCTTGGTCATTATTGGTGTATAGCAGTGGCACATTTTTTTTGTTTCATGAAAGTTAATGGTTGTGTAAAGGTTGAGTATCCCTTACCCAAAATGCTTGAGACTGGAAGTTTTGCAGATGATAAGAGTTTTTCGGATTTTGGAATATTTGCATATATATAGTATTTCTTGGGGATGAGACCCAAGTGTAAACATGAAATTTGTGTTTTATGTATAGCTTATACATATAGCCTGAATGTAATTTTATACAATATTTTAAAGATTTTTTAAATATGAAATGAAATTTTGACTGTGACCTGTCACATGGGATCAAGTGCAGAATTTTCCATTTATGATATCATGTGGATGCTCAAAAAGTGTCAAATTTTGGATTATTTTAGATTTCAGGGTTTTGGATTAGGGATGCACAATCTGTGTTAGTAATGAATTTAGTGGGGGTATGTTTGTCTCTGCCAGGCATGCTATTCTTTTTCAGCAGTGAGTGTGTTTGACATGGTCTGGTTCTTCTGAAATCAGATTTCTCTTGTAGCATATTTAACAGGAATTTCTAAAGTGTTTCTTATATAAGGATAGCACTCTTTCTAATTGTAAACATTCATGATACAGCCTTTCTTCTTCTTTTTTTTTATATTGAGTAGGTTTTTTTCCATTGGAGTATTGGAAAAAAGGAGTTTTCTAGGCATGTACTTCTTGTTATATGGAATACTGATAAACTTTGTTTTCTTGCTAAAATTTTAGTGTGCACAGGTAGCTTTTGAAGATGTCTAATGCAAATTAGGCTTTCTGGACTGTCTAGCACCCTTTGCTTTCACCCTTTGTGATTATACTTTTTTGTATTTAATGCATATCTATAGAAATAGTGATTGTTGGCCGGGCATAGTGGCTCATGCCTGTAATCCCGGCACTTTGGGAGGCTGAGGTGGGCGGATCATCTGAGGTCAGGAGTTCAAGACCAGCCTGACCAACATGAGGAAACCCCATCTCTACTAAAAATATAAAATTAGCCAGGTGTGGTGGCACATGCCTGTAATCCCAGCTACTCAGGAAGGCTGAGGCAGGAGAATCGCTTGAATCCAGGAGGTGGAAATTGTGGTGAGCCGAGATCGCGCCATTGCTCTCCAACCTGGGCAACAAGAGTGAAACTAGGTCTCAAAAAAAAAAAAAGAAAAAGAAATAGTGATTGTTAGCCAGTCCTTCTCCATCTCCTTAAATACGACCAGATATTACTTAGGTTTAATGAATTGTATATGTTGGGATGAAAGTAGCATGACTGTATTCGTGGTCAACAGTGAGGATTAAAGATAGGCTGTTTACTCTGAGATATATTCTTTCTTTTTTTGCCTAGTCGTTGGACTACCACCTGTGAAATAGCGTATATTAACTGTCTCTTCCTACAAACATTCTAATGAAGTAAGGTTTTTACTATGTGAAACATAACTCTCTTTGTATGAACTCAACGTTTTTTGAGGAATATTCTCTAAACGGAATTCTAGTATGGAGGGTTGGTGGAAAGAGCACTGCTTTTAGGAATCAGAAAATGTCCATTGTAGTCTTAATCTGTTAATGTTTGACAGGATAATTTAGGCAATACTTGATTTTTTTTAGAACTTATTAATTGTAAAATGTGAAAATGGAGAGGATTGAAATGGTTATCTAAGGTTTCTTCTATATGCTGTCTCGTTTGCAGACACTGGGATGTCATAACCAAGTGAGAAGTTTTTCAGAGTTTCTCTGAAGGGGCTTTCGAGATGAACAGTTATTTTCTTGTTGAATTTGCTCCTGTTCGAGGTTGGAAACTGAATCTTGCAGACTCACTAATCTCATTTTATCACTATATTGAGAATAAATCCACCTCTCAGAGACAAGCTAAGCTTATGAAACTTAAATATGAAGCCTGAATGTTAAGTTAATTTACAAGGAGAAATTTCTGTGCCAGAGACTGGAATACTCAAGGTCCATTCTCTCCCTACATGCAGAACAAATGTTAAGTCATATTATGATCAAAAGGTACATAATGAGCTTGGAATTGGAATAAAGAGAATTAAATAAATCGAGTTTAATGATATTGCAGCAATTTGCCAATAGGACTGGCAAAATTTAAAATGTTGGCTTAAGTGCCCTTTCTCTGGATAATACTTAGATGAACCCTGCCAGTGTTTATCTGTGTTTCTTTATTTAAATTTATTTCCTTTATTTAAGTTTCTATGGCTGATTTCCCAATCTTTCTGATTGATCTTATTATTTATCTAAATATATTAACTGGATAAATTAATATTTTGTATTTTAGTCTTTCTGGCTTGGGAATAGCTAGCTCTCCTTTATTTAGGAGACTTTGCATATCTATGTTTTGATCACCTATTTGATGATTATTCTGATAATTTTACTTCGTAAAGCAATTCGCAAATCATTATAATTATTTATCATAAAACTTTTAAAAGAAAAATAATGTTGTTCTGCTCATTTTTTAAATGAGGAACCTAAGGCTCAGTGTCTACCCTGGAGTACTGAGCTCTAATGTAGAACTGGGATGTGAATCTAGTTCTCAAATCCAAGTTCTTTTTCTACAGTATGCTTTCTAATTGGAAGTGGCTTGAGTCAAGGGAACACAAAGAGCTAAGTATATATTTAAGGTATTTTAAACTTCCAATAAAGAAGTTTTTTTTTTCTTATCTAAGTTATACCTTCATAGACATTAAAATAAAGCTTCTTTTTAAAAAACTTTTATTTTAAGTTCAAGGTTACGTGTGAAGGTTTGTTATATAAGTAAACCTGTGCCATGGGGGTTTGTTGTACAGATTATTTCATCACCCAGATATTAAGCCTAGTGCCCATTAGTTATTTTTCCTGATCTTCTCCCTCCTCCCACCCTCCACCTTCTGGTAGGCCCCAGTGTCTGTTGTTTCTCTCCATGTGTTCTCATCATTTAGCTCCCACTTATAAGTGAGAACATAGAGTTTTTGGCTTTCTGTTTCTGTATTAGTTTGCTAAGGGTAATAATGGATTTTAGCTCCATCCATGTTCCTGCAAAGGACATGATCTCATTCCTTTTTATGGCTGCATAGTATTCCATGGTGTACATATAACACATTTTTAAAATCCAGTTCATCCACTGATGGCCATTTAGGTTGATCCCATGTCTTTGCTATTGTGAAATGCTGCAGTAAATGTACACTTGCATGTGTCTTTATGATACAACAATTTATATTTCTTTGGGTATATTCCCAGTAATGGGGGGACTATTGGGTCATATAGTAGTTTGTTTTTAGTTCTTTAAGGAATTGCCACACAGCGTTTCCACAGTGGTTAAACTAATTTATACTCCCACCAACAGTGTATAAGTGTTTCTATTTCTCTGCAACCTAGCCAGCATCTATTATTTTTTTGACTTTTTAATAATAGCCATTATGACTGGTATGAAATAGTATCTTACTCTGGTTTTGATTTGCATTTCTCTAGTGATCAGTGATGTTCAGCTTTTTTTCATATGCTTGTTGGCTGCATGTATGTCTTCTTTTAAAAAGTGTTCATGTCCTTTGCTCAGTTTTTAATGGGGCTGTTTTTCTCTTGTAAATGTGTATAAGTTCCTTATAGATGTTGGATATCAGATCTTTGTCAGATATCTAGTTTGCAAATATTTTCTCCCATTCTGTAGATTGTCTGTATACTGTATTAATACTTTCTTTTGCTGTGCAGAAGCCCTTTAGTTTAATTAGATCCCATTTGCCAGTTTTTGCTTTTGTTGCAATTGCTTTTGGCATGTTTGTCATGAACACTTTGCCTGTTCCTGTGTCCAGAATGGTATTGCCTAGGTTGTCTTCCAGAGATTTTATAGTTTTGAGTTTTACATTTAAGTCTTTAATCCACTCTTATGTTAATTTTTGTATATAGTGTAAGGAAGGGGTCCAGTTTCAATCTTCTATATGTGGCTAACTAGTTATCCCAGCACTATTTATTGAATAGGGAGTCCTTTCCCCATTGCTTGCTTCTCTCAGCTTTGTAAAAAATGTGATGTTGTAGGTGTGAGGCCTTAGTTCTCGGGTCTCTCTCCTGTTCCATCAGTCTGTGGATCTGTTTTTGTAGCAATAGCATGCTGTTTTGGTTACTGTAGTCCTCCTGTAGTACAATTTGAAGTCAGGTAGCATAATGCCTCCAGTTTTGTTTTCTTTGCTTAGGATTGCTTTGGCTATTTTTTGGTTCCATATGAATTTTCAAATAGGTTTTTCTAGTTCTGTGAAGAATGTCATTGGTAGTTGAATAGCAATAGCATTGAATATATGAATTGCTTTGGGCAGTATGGCCATTTTAATGATATTGATTCTTTCTATCCATGAGTGTGGAATGCTTTTGCATTTATTTGTGTTATCTCTGATTTCTTTGAGCAGTGTTTTGTATTTCTCATTGTAGAGGTCTTTCACCTCCTTGGTTAGCTGTGTTCCTAGTTATTTTATTCTTTTTGTGGCAATTGTGAATGAGATTATGTTCCTAATTTTGCTCTCAGCTTGACTGTTGTTGGTGTAATAGGAATGCTAGTGATTTTTGTATATTGATATTTTGTATCCCAAGACTTCACTGAAGTTACCAGCTTAAGGAGCTTTTGGGTGGACACAGTGGGGTTTTCTAGATATAGAATCATGTTGTCTGCAAGCAGGAATAGTTTGACTTCCTTTCTTTTTATTTGGATGTACTTTATTTCTTTCTCTTTCCTGATTGCTCTGTCCAGGACTTCCAATAGTATGTTGAATAGGAGGGATGAGAAAGGGCATCCTTGTCTTTTGCTGGATTTCAAGGGAAATGCTTTCAGCTTTTGTCCATTCAGTATGATGTTGGCTGTGGGTTTGTCATGTGTCTCATTATTTTGAGGCATGTTCTTTCAATACCTAGTTTATTGAGAGTTTTTAACATGAAGGAATGTTGAATTTTATCAAAAGCCTTTTTTTGCATCTATTGAGATAATCATGTGTTTCTTGTCTTTAGTTCTATATAGGTGATGAATCATATTTATTAATTTAAGAATGTTGAACCAACCTTGCATCCCAGGGATAAAGCCTCCTTGATTGTAGGTTTTTGATGTGCTGCTGGATTTGGTTTGCCACAAGTGTTTTTGCATTGATGTTCATCAAGGATATTGGCATGAAATAATTATTTTTCGTTGTATATCTGAAAGGTTTTAGTATCAGGGTGATGTTGACCTCATAGAATGAATTAGGGTGAAGTCCCTCTTCCTCAGTTTCTTGGAATAGTTTCAGTAGGAATAGTACCAGTTGTCCTTTGTACATCTGGTAGAATTCAGATGTGGATATGTCTAGTCCTGGGCTTTTATTGGTTGGTAGGCTACTTATTATTGATTCAGTTTGCGAGCTTGTTATTGATCTGTTCAGGAATTTAATTTCTTGCTGGTTCAGTCTTAGGAGGGTGTATGTGTCCAGGAATTTATCCATTTCTTCTAGATTTTCTAGTTTGCATGCATGGAGGTGTTCATAATATTCTCTAATGGTTCTTTGTATTCCTGTGTGGTCAGTGATAATATCCCTTTTGTTGTTTCTAATTGTGTTTATTTGGATCATTACTTTTTTTCTTCTTTATTTGTCTAGCTAGTGGTCTATTTTACCAATTTTTTCAAAAAACCAACTGTTGGATTCGTTGATCTTTTGAATTTTTTTTTTTTGTCCCAGTCTCCTTGAGTTCAGCTCTGAGTTTGGTTATTTCTTGTCTTCTGCTAGCTTGGGGGTGGTTTTGCTCTTGGTTTTCTAGTTCTCTTAATTGTGATGTTAGGTTGTTAAATTGAGATCTTTCTAACTTCTTTTTGTGGACATTTAGTGCTATAAATTTCCCTTTTAACACTGTCTTAGCTGTGTCCCAGGGATTCTGGTATGTTGTATCTTTGTTCTCATTAGTTTCAAAAGACTTCTTGATTTCTGCCTTCTCTTCATTATTTACCCAAAGTTATTCAGGAGCAGGTTATTCAATTTTCATGTATTTGAATGGTGTTGAGCTTTTTTCTTAGTTTTGAATTCTATTTTTATTGCACTCACATCTGAGAATGTTTGTTACGATTTCAGTTCTTTTGCATTTGTTGAGGAGCATTTTATGTTTGATTGTGTGGTCAGTTTCAGAATACATGCCCTGTAGCGATGAGAAGAATGTGTATTCTGCTGTTTTGGGGTGGAGAGTTCTTTTCTTTTCTTTTTTTTTTTTTTTTTTTTTTTGACGACGGAGTCTCACTCTGTTGCCCAGGCTGGAGTGCAGTGGCGCGATCTCGGCTCACTGCAAGCTCCGCCTCCCAAGTTCACGCCATTCTCCTGCCTCAGCCTTCCGAGTAGCTGGGACTACAGATGCCCGCCACCACGCCTGGCTAATTTTTTGTATTTTTTATTAGAGACAGGGTTTCACCGTGTTAGCCAGGATGGTCTCGATCTCCTGACCTTGTGATCCACCCGCCTCGGCCTCCCAAAGTGCTGGGAATACAGGCGTGAGCCACCACACCTGGCCTGGGTGGAGAGTTCTGTAGTTGTCTTATCAGGTCCATTTGATCCAGTGCTGAGTTTAGGCCCTGAATATCTTAGTTATTTTTTTTTGCTTTGATGCTCTATTTCTGTCAGTGGGGTTTTGAAGTCTCCCACTATTACTGTGTGGGAGTCTAAGGCTCTTTGAAGGTCCCTATGACCTTGCTTTATGAATCTGGGTGCTCCTGTGTTGGTCGCATATACATTTAAGATAGATCTTATTGAATTGAGCCCTTTGCTATTATATAATGCTCTTACTTGTCTTTTTGGATCTCTGTTGGTTTGAAGTCTGTTTTTTTCTGACATAAGGATTGTAATCCTTGCTTTTTTTCTGATTTCCATTTGCTTGTTAAGAGTTTTCTCCATCCCTTTATTTTGAGCCTATGGATGTCATTACATGTGAGATGGGTCTCTTGAAGGCAGCATACCATTAGGTCTTTGTTCTTTATCCAGCTTGCCACTCTGTGCCTTTTAATTAAGGCATTTAGCCCATTTACATTCAAGCTTAGTACTGAAATGTGTGGATTTGATTCTGTCATCATGATGTTAGCTGTTTATTATGCAGACTTGTTTGTGTGGTTGCTTTATAATAGTGTCACTGGTCTGTGTACTTAAGTGTGTTTTTGTAGTGGCTGGTCCAAATAAAGCTTTCATCAATGCAATAGGAGCCAATTGTTTTTTATATTTTGTTCATTGTAGATGTAGGATCATATTATAGTTAAATTATCACTTTTTAAGGAGTTAAATGCTGAATATTCTAAATTTCTGATTGATATTTACCTTAAAGATTAGTTTGTGAGGCTTCATACCCAACTCATGTTTTTTAAAAGTATGCTATATTTTAGCATTGGTATTTCTGGTTAAAATGTTAAGTTTTTTGTAAATTTTAGTTTTTTATGTTTATCAAGAGGTATAACTTTGGTATTTTACTGTACTCTTATGGCAGAACATTCTTTATATGAAGGTATTTCCTCACCACCGTATCCTTGTTTTTTTTACTTTGAAAAAATGTTAGGTTGGTGCAAAAGTAATTTCTGTTTTGGACCATGAATTTTAAATCATTATAACTAGGCTTGAACCATCTTTATTAAGCAAATTAGGAAGCATTACAATCAACACATTTTTGCCAACAAGAAACAAGGTTGTTTATTCCTGTAGTGTAAAAATCCATGCTTCAGGATTCAGTAACCTCTTGGAAAGCATTTTCTGCACCCTGCTGGTTGTGGAAATGTTTTCCCTGAAAAAGTTGTTGAGATGCTTGAAAAAGCGGTAGTTGGTTGGCAAGAGGTCAGGTAAATATAGCAGATGAGACAAAACTTCATGGCTCAATTCGTTCAACTTTTGAAGCATTGGTTGTGCAACATGTGGTCAGGCATTGTCATGGACAAGAATTGGGCCCTTTCTGTTGACCAGTGCTGGCTGCAGGCATTGTAGTTTTCAGTGCATCTCATTGATTTGCCAAGCATACTTCTCAGATGTAGTGGTTTTGCTGAGATTCAGAAAGCTGTTGTGGATCATACCAGCATCAGACCACCAACCAGTGACCATGAACTTTTTGTGGTGCAAGTTTGGCTTTGGGAAGTACTTTGGAGCTTCTTTGCGGTCTACCTACTGAGCTGGTAGTTGCCAGTTGTCATATAAAATCCACTTTTTGTTGCATGTCACAATCTGATTGAGAAATGATTCATTGTTGTTGCATAGAATAAGAGAAGACAACACTTCAAAATGATGATTTTTTTGATTTTCGCTCAGCTCATGAGGCACCCACTTATTGAGCTTTTTCACCTTTCCAGTTTGCTTCAAATGCTAAATGACTGTAGAATGGTCAACGTTGAGTTCTTTGGCAACCTCTTGTATAGTTGATCAGCCTTGATGATTGCTCTCAATTGGTTGTTGTCAACTTCCAATGGCCAGCCACTGTGATCTTCATCTTCAAGGCTCTTGTCTCCTTTGCAAAACTTCTTGAACCACCAATGCACTGTACGTTTATTAGCAGTTCCTTGGCCAAATGCGTTGTTGATGTTGCGAGTTGTCTCTGCTGCTTTATCACCCGTTTTGAACTAAAATAAGAAAATTGCTCATATTTGCTTTTTGTCTAACATCATTTCCATGGTCTAAAATAAACATAAAATAAACAGCAGGTAATATGTCATCAGCAAAAGAACATAAAGTGAGAAATGCCCATTAAAATGATGTATGACATAACCACATTAATTTAAGAATGTGTTCCAACATCAAACAGCGAATTCCAACAATGCAAAAACTGCAGTTACTTTAGCAACAACCTAATACAAATGAAAGTCTACCGTTTTCAATTTATTTCACCCTTATGGCTGATTAACTTTAATGGATATAATAACAATAGAACTTTATTTAAACTACATATTCCTTGTAAATTTGGGCATATAAAATTTCTTGGAGGTCATTTAAGAGTTTAGGTGTCTAATAGCTGCTATTTCTTTTAACCTGCTTGAAAAGAGGAGATAATGACACCTAACATTGAGTTGAGAGTTGGAGTCTTTAGTAGGCTCAAATTTTGCTTTTGAGTCCCTGTTATGGGTTGATGGCACATGTGTTTAGGTATCTAGCTCTAAGTATATGTTGGTGTGATGACTAAGTTTTTTTTTTTAATAAATAGTATTTTCACCATATTAATATAAAATAGGCTGGTCTTCTGCTGTTGAAACTATTATGATTATCAAATTTATAAAAGCCACAAGAATGTAGTATATAAATTGTCAGGTAGACGTACATTGCCTTTGTTAATACTTAAATAGAGTACTCTATTTGGGTAGTACCCAATGCTTCTCAAACTGTAGATGTACACTTGGGCAAAGTGCCCTCAAAACTCTAAAGTGAATAATTCTGTTTATGTACAATAATACTTACGTTGTGTGTACTCTGGAAATTATTATGGGGCTGTTTATGTCATTTTAGGATGCTGAGTCAGCTTCTGGCAAATGGTATATTTGTAATCTGACAACTGTCAATAAGGTGCTAAAAGTCTTTTTCATAGATATTTCTATTTTATGATTTAAATAACAGGCAAAGAAAAGAAAGAAGATTTTAATTTCAAAATACATAGTGATTAAGTCAAAGATTATTAATATACATTATAAAAAGATTAACAGCAAGAGTGTCTTGGGCATATAGATAGAAAATAGAACAGAAGAAGCTCATTCAGAGAATAAGACATAAAATCTGCAACTGAAGAAAAACTAGCATACATAGAAGTAAGAGAACTGAAAATAATCTTCGTAGCTTAAATGAATGCAAATTGTGGCAAGCTTTATATTGAAGGTTCAAAGAAAGAGAAGAAAGAACAAATAATTGTGTTTCATTTTGCTAATATTCACATACTGTAACTAGATTTCCTATTATAATTAACTGGATGGGCAGAAGGGGACTTTAAAGTAGTTTTGTTTTACTTCATTAAGTCTTGTTTTCTACTGGCAGTAGGATATAGTTAAGAGCTTATTTGAGGACTGTTGCTTTTATTTTATTCTTTTAATTGGCATTGTTAAATCACTGTATATATGCTAGCTAGTCATGTTTTGCTTTCTCTTTAGGCATTTAATGATAGACTGTTGTTGGTATCAATTAAATATATACTTTATGAAAACATTAGTTTCTTAAAATTCTTTTTGAAGTTTTCATCTCTCTGTCTCTTTTTAACTTATCCTTTTCCTATTTGGTTCTCTGTAGTCTGTTTCCTTGTCTGTATTTTTTTTTTTATTCCAGGAGATGGGGTCTTGGTCTGCCACCCAGGCTGGAGTACAATGATGTGATCATAGTTCACTGCAGCTGCGAACTCCTGGGTTCAAACCATCTTTCCACCTCAGCCTTCCCAGTAGCTGGGACACTGTGCTCACCTCCTTGTCTGCAGTGCGCCTGGCTCCTTGCCTGTATTTTTCATTGTTTTTTTAACTACTGGAAAAATAACACACACACGCCCAAAATCTTAACATGATTTTAACTTGCATTTTTAGTACTTGTGGAGTGGAGAATATGAGCTTGAGATTTAGAGTAAAACAGACATGAACTCTGCTCGTGACTTGACAGTCTTCTAGTTTGTGAAATTTTGTACTTTATAATTAAACTCAGAATCTTAGATTCTTCATTTATGAAATGGTTGTTATAGGGAGGACGAAATAAGTTGACACACACACAAAAATACTGCACAGCACCTAGACCAGAGTATGTACCAGGTCAATGACAGTTCTCTCCGCTTTTTTCATTTCACTTAACAGAAATTTGAGCTGTTCTTTTTGGTCATTGATAGGCTTTGGCTCTGTGTCCCCATCCAAATCTCATCTCGAATTGTAATCCCCCCATGTCAAGGGAGGGACCTGGTGGGAGGTGATTGGGTTATGGAGGTGGTTCCCCCCGCATGCTGTTCTTGTGGTAATGAGTTCTCACAGGATCTTCTGGTTTGAAAGTGTCGCCCTTCCCCTTCTCTGGCTCTCTTTCTCCTTCTGTCTTGTGAAAAAGGTGCCTGCTTCCCCTTTGCCTTCTGCTGTGATTGCAAGCTTCCTGAGGCATCCCCAGCCATGTGGAACAGTGAGTCAGTTAAACCTGCTTCCTCTTTTTTTTTTTGAGATGGGATTTCACTCTTGTTGCCCAGGCTGGAGTGCAGTGGCACGATTTCGGCTCACTGCAACCTCTACCTCCTGGGTTCAAGCGATTCCCTTGCCTCAGCTTCCCGAGTAGCTGGGATTACAGGCAGGTGCCACTACACCCAGCTAATTTTTGGATTTTTAGTAGAGATGGGGTTTTGCCATGTTGGCCAGGCTGGTTTGGAACTCCCGACCTCAGGTGATCCACCTGCTTCAGCCTCCCAAAGTGCTGGGATTACAGGTTTGAGCTACTACGCTTGACCTAAACCTGCTTCTTTATACATTACTCAGTCTCAGGTAGTATCTTTATAGCAATGTGAGAATGAATTAATAGTCATGTAAAAAAAGATATTTTAAAATGAAAACTATTCATTGTCTACATTCAGCACAAGTTTCAGGGTTATCTGATTCTAGCCCTGTTCATTGTCTTTGAGTTATTTTATATTTACAGCTCTTCATATGTTGTAGGAACTGATAGACATGAAATTCTGATTGACTCTGCACCTTTAGAAAAAAAGCAGTTGGACCTCCATTTGCAATTTATTTCAATATTTGTTCACTCTCTATAAATTTGTCCTATTTTAAATGATTTTTCCTTTGAAGTGATTATAACATTTGCCTGGTTCCCTCATTGTGTGAGTAGACTAAAATCTTTAATATATATCTACTTTATCGCTGTGAGTCAAGACTTTATCTTTTTTTTGAAAATCATGTTTTTATATTTAAAATATTTCCAAGAAATGTCAAAATGAAAATTTTAAATTGATTTATTGAACACCTTTGATATACAGCACACTAATATTTTAATCATTTGCTATTTGGAGTGTTGCAATAGTGATATTAAACTACAAACAATGGCAAGTCGTTCCATGACATCTGACAACTAAGTACTTTAGATAATAATTTATTTATTTTTTATTATTTTAATACCAATGTGATAATCTCAGGGTAAAGTTTTCTAATGTAAAGGATTGCTCTGTATCTTACATTACATAGTGTCTTGAATATAGTGCTACTCTACGATTGTATTTTGAATAAGTGATTAGATAAATGAGTCCAATAAAGAACACAGGCACTGTTTTCTTAAGTGTGTCATTATGTTCTAATGAGTTTAAAAAATTTCTTAAGGATCTAGTTTCCAGAGACTCAGGAACCAAAAACTACCTCAGCAGGAACTTAACATTTTAAAATGATGTGTTCGAAATGTATCACTTTAGCTTAAGGTGTGATATAATTTTTTTCTTGCACTTCAGAAATTGCTTAGAATTTTGTTCACTCAGTGTGAGCAAGAGTTAAAAGAAAAAAGCCTTTTATTTTTAGATAGTAAATTTGGATAAAAAGATACTATGATTTTGGAATATTCCTCCCATATTCTTCAAACTGTTTAGACTCCTTATATCATTTTTTATTGTATTTTACTTCATTAGTTTATTTCTATTTTCATTTATTTTTGGATGCTGTGGTATTTTCTTGCTGTGATATTAAAGAAGCAGTGGGGAATGAAATTTTTTTAAATTTTATTTTTTAAATTTTTTATTTTTTAAATTTTCCCATTCAAAAAGTTACATTTATATTTATGTTTATATTATATAATTTTATGTTGACTATGCTAGCAAAAGATTACGAGGCCTCTTCCTCTGCATCTCTTTTAGAAATGGTAACAGTTTTTTTTGTCATTTGCAGAATTCCGAAATTTGATTATTGCAATTTGTAGTATACAGGGTTACCCAAACAGCCCTCTGGAACACTGTTATTCCTCAAAGAAGCGAGTAGAGGTGGAGTCTTTGTTTATAGTATGCCAATAACTCTAGAAAATAATTAAAAATAACTAAAATGGTAGACATTTTATCAATGATGTAATCATTTTATTAAGGAAGTGATCATTTTTATTTCCTATGTTCCTCCATCTTGGCCTTTTAAAAGCTATTATATATTTTTCCTTCAATTTCCAACCTAGATGTCTTAGATACATCCTAAAATCCATTATATTACATCTATATATCTATACATATAATGTATAAACATATACATTATATATCAAGGGTCATTTCCTGTGAGTAACCCTCCTTGGATAGAAACAAGGATTTTCTAAACACTGACTTTCACCATTTTCTGTAAATTTTAAAAGAAATGTGTACACTTAGTTTCAAATTTTTTTTAGTAACATCTTCATATTTAGATATGTGATTTGGATCTCCATAAGCACTTGCAAATTCTTTGTTTTTTCATAACAGTGATTTCCCTACATGAGTGATTTTCAAAGGTGTCAGCAATGAGCATTGAATAGGAAGATGTGGGTTCAACAACATAGACCTGAAAATACATTTGGGGATCAGAGGTGAGATGACAGTTTATGAAAGCAGATAGTCACCAGCCTCTAATGTACCTAAAAGATGAAAGAATGGGATAAAAACAAGGACCTGCATTGGATAATAGGGTGTTTGAATGAAAATTAAAGGTCAAAACTATTTTCTGAGTTACAAGATATAAAAATCATTATTTTATTGGCATATTCTTCTTGAATTATTTTAATCATTAACAGAGATAAACAGATTTTTTTGGGGGGTATAGGTAAAAGTGCATGGCTATTTTTACCCATTTCTTATTTAGAATTAATAAGAGTTATTATGTTTATGTAAAATGAAACAGAAATGACCACAAACAGAATTACTGGGAAAAAAAATTGCACACTGTTTGGAAACTTGGTGCTCCTTCGCCTGTGTCATGTTTTGACATAGTTAGCTTTTTGTGCTTTAGAAGAGATCTGTCAATGAAAAATGATATGTCCAAGTGACTTGCTAGTTACCCTTACAAAGGTAAAAATGAAGAACTGCCATTCATTGCACTTTTGATTTGCTTTGTAGCTGTGAAGGAATATTGTGCTGACTTATATTCTCTAAATCTTAGAACACCAAGGATTTCACATTTAAAATAAAGCAAATTGTATCTATACTCTGCTTAAGCATTAAAAGCAAGCAAACAAACAACATACCAAAAGAAACAAAATTTTATAGATTTCTCTTAAAAAATTTTGGCTGTGTTTTTGTGGAAGTAGGTGTTGTTGGGCACACCTGATTTCCTGCATTTAAAGATTTTGGGCATGAGGACTGACATTACACGATTTTTAATAGACCAAAGAATACTGTAAGCACTTTGGAACTTTAAAAATTGCACCTTGACTAAGTGAGAAGATATTTATATTTTACATACTAGAATTTGTAATTTTAAAATTATGTTTACAATTTCCCATTTATTAAGCACACACATTTAAAACATGTATACCATCGTTACTATAAAATAACATTTTGTGTCTATATACGTGGACAATATTTACTAGGACAGATTTTCTTCTAAGGGTTGAATGTTATAGGGCAGTCACCTTAAATTAGTGAAGCTATGTGAATTGTAGCATAGCAAAAACTGTAGAGGTTTAACTGAAAAAAATCTAGTTCTCACTTAGAGGGAAATAATATGCTCTCTTTTCTTTCACAGATGCTATTCATTTGTTTTCTCATTTTATATTAAAAATTGGATTTGGGTTATGAAACACTTAGTAAACATAGTATCAAATTCAACAACTTTCTGAAAATTCCTCTGATGCCTCATAAATTGATAGTGCCTATGAATTGTAAGCACTTTACATTCAACTTTTCATATGTCTTATTGGTCTGATTAGCAGGATGCCAGAAAGGCTTGCATCTCCAAATTTTGTGTTTATTGGTCTGTTGCTGATTGTTGAGTTTTTTTTTTTTTTTTCCCCCCACAAAAGCTAGTTGGCCCCTATTAGTCTTTACTTTGAAGCTGGATCTTTTCCTATCCTATTAACTCAGAGCATGCTTTGATTGGGGGTTAACGTGACTCCTGGGGGTTGATTATTTCAATTAGGTAGGATATTGAAACAAAAGTCTTTAGAAGTATATTTTTAAGCAGGTATAGTTATTTTTTTATTTTTTCTTTGTTGTATTTAAAAATAACACACCTGAATCTGCTATTTAAGAACTAGAGTGTTAACCAATTTCATAATTTTTCTTCTATCCTATCCCTTTGCCTTTGTCCCTAGAGGAACCACTGTCCTCCATTTTATGTTAGCATTTCCTTGATTTTGTAAAAAAAAAACAACAACAACAACAACAAAAAATTGTGTGTGCTTGTGTGCACATATATATATATATAAGAGCTTTGCTTGTTTATGTGCTTTATAAAAATGGGTTCATACTGTTTGAAATCTTCAGGATTTATATTTTTAACCCAAATTTTGTCTCTAAGATTCAGTCATGTTGTTTCATATATCTGTAGTTTCTTTATTTTCACTGATAAATAATTGATTATGCCACAACTCAGGTACCCATCTTATGTCAGTATTTAGGTTGTTGCCACTTGTTTGCTGTTATGAACAGTAACTGGTGGAAACTTTCTGATATATATTTTTAGTGGTAGCAAGTCTTTCTTTATTTAGCAGTTTTGCCTAGGGAAGGATTTTGTGGAGACCAAGTTATTTTTCCTCTGGTGAGTAATTCTTGAGATGTGTTGTTTCTTTTTTATTATATAATTTCCCCTTTGCTGTTTCCTCTTTACTTTTATTGTGACTTACAGAAAACCTTGAAGAAATGGACAAATAATTCCCATATATCCTTCATTCATTTTCTTCAAAGGTTAACATTTTACCACATTTGCTTTATCATTTTCTTCCCTTTCCTTCTCATTTTTCTTATTCTCCTCAGTATTTATTTAGTGTTCTTTTTGTTCTTACACTGAGGACATTCAATCAAAATACTATGTCCCAAAGTAACTTGGGTTAGTTCTTACCCCTCCCTCTCTCATACTGTGTTATGTGATCAGGTTATTCATTTGCAAGTTCATTTGTTGTTCTTTGTATTCTGTTTTAGGATTTCTCATTCCCCTGCCTGTTGATTTCATTTTTCTTTTATTGAGTATGTGAAACGTTAACATGGTGCCAAAAGTTGAGAACTGTATTAAAACCTATATTCAGAGAAGAGAGATTTCTTGCCATTCATTTATTATCTTTCGACCTCATTCCTGCCGATCTTCCACTATCAGTCCTGTTTGTTTTTGGCTTTATCCTTCATACATTTCCTTTACAGCAAATAAGTAGATGTATGTATCTTTGTCTTTTCATATATTTAAGGGCCTTTTGTATATTTTCATTTTGGTAAATCGTTCACATCTTTTGCTCATTGTATGGATATTTTTTATTCCCTCAACCTTTTTTTCCCTCTAGGTTTTAAATGTTCTTTATTTATTAGGAATATTGGCCCTTATCTGTGATACATGTTATACATATTATTGTTTTCCCCAGGTTTTAAATGTTCTTTATTTATTAGGAATATTGGCCCTTATCTGTGATACATGTTATACATATTAGTTTTTTTTCTAAGTTGTTAGTTGGTTTTTATATTTGTTTTGACAGAAAAAACGTTTAATATATTATATGATGAAATTAGTCAGTCTTTCCTTGTGTTGTATCTATAATCAAGCCATAGTTAGAATGCCCTTTCTTATGTCTAAGGTAAAGAAGAACTCACTCATGTTTTCTCCTAGGGTATATGATCTCATTATTAGACTGTTTAGATCCCTGATCCTCTTTGGAGTTTCTTTTTGTGTATGATATGATATAAGGGTTTAATTTTATTTAATACTTTTTTCCAAACAACTAATCAATTGTTCTATCACTATTTATTAACAAGCCCATCTTTGACTCAGTGATTTGAAATGCTGCTTTTATCACATACTTGCTTCACACATACTTGGATCTATTTTTGGACTTTCTGATGTGTTCTTCTGATCTGTTAATTGCTGTGCCAAATAATATACCATCTTATTTATAGAGATTGTATAACATAATTTAATACAGCAAATTTTGATAAATAGTATGTTTTAATATAGTTTAATTTAGTATATTTTAATAAGAGGGAATGGTATTCCTCATATAGCTTTTCTCTTTTAGGGTTGTTCTGTTCTCTCAAGCTCACTTTTTTAATGTCACATTTAATGCCCATTTATCTAACTTCATTATAAAAAACTTATTGGGATTGTATTAAGCCTATACATTAATTAAGAGAGGACTGGGATTTTTATGATATTTAGATGTTCTATCCTATTACAAGAGATATCTTTACCTTTGTTTAGGTCTATTTCTTTGTCTTTCAGGAGTGTTTTAAAGTTTTCCTCACATTTCTTGCTAAATTTATTCTTAAGTACTGTATTGTGTCTTTGTTGCAGTGAAAAATACTTATTTTCTTTACCATTACATTCTCTAAATGGTTATTGTTTTTACATATGAATTATATTGGTTTCTGCTGGTCAAGTTTATATCCTGCTGCTCTTCTGAATGCTTTTATTATTAGAGTTAATTTTATATGTATTCTCATGATAGAAACATGAAATTATTTTCACCTTTTTTCTTTTTTTATGGTGCTATTTCATTTCTCTTGTTGACTTGCATTGATTTGTGCCTTTAGTACAATGTTTAAAGATAGAGAGTTAGTAGGCATCCTTTTCTTATTCCTCATCTTTACGGAAACACCTTTAATCTTTTCCCATTAGTTAAGTTGCTGCCTTTAGGGCTGAGGTTTATATATTTTATTTTCTTAAAAAGCGTCCATCAGTTTCTATTTTCTGATTGTTTTTAACTGAAATGGGTGTTCAGTTTTATCACGGGCATTTCCAGAGTCTGGAGATAATCATATAATTTTTTTTAAAATTCTGTTATTATGGAGTATTATATTAATGAATTCTTTAATAGGTAACCAGTCTTGCATTCCTGGAGTAAGTTCTATTGGTTCATTACATATCATTTTAATATGGTGCTGGATTCATTTTTTTAATATTTTATTTAGAACTTATACTTCATTATAAGTGATACTCTAATCTGAAAATCTTGAATTTTTCTGATTTTTAATGTCTTTATAAGGTGTTACTATTAATGTTATGTTAATTGTAGTGTTAATGAAATTTTCCTTCATTTTCAGTGTTCTTCTCAATTTTAGAATATTGGGTTTGTATAATGTTTGAATTTTTGGTAGAAATCCTCTTGAAATAATCTGAGCCTGATGCTTTCTTTGTTGGGTAGTTGCCTATTTTTTTCACAGAAAATTTATTTTTAAAAGTTGAAAAAAATATTTAATCAGATCAACTTTTAGAAACTACATTTCTTTAGGAATTTTTTCATTTTTCTAAATGCTTTGATTTACTTAGAAGTCTGTAGAAGAGCCTTATTGCTTACTAATTTTTTCTGTTTTGATAGCTATATTCTCCTTGTCATTTAATTTTGTATATTTGAGTTCTTTCCCTTTTATTGTTAGTTACTATTTTGTTTAATTTTCATTTGAAATTCAGGATTTTGATTAGTTATATGTACCCTTTTTTCTTACTAATCTACTTCAATGAATGCAGTATCTTTATTATTTTCCTTATTCTACTTTTTAAATTTTCTTTTTTGTTTCTTTTTTAGTTTGAGCTCGGAATTTAATTCATTGTTTTTTAACTTCAGGGCTATGAAGTTTGCTTTCTAATCACTGCTTTAAATGTATCCCATATATTGTTATGCAATGGTTTGTCACTATTTCTTAGAAATCTTATAGTATCTTAACAGATAATGAAAAATTAGAATTATATTGTGCTTGGGTGAATAATGGGATAGGTGTGAAAAGATTTCTGGAAAAGCTTGTTTTGAATGTTGCCAACTTATAACTTCAATGACAACTTCCATTTACTGAATGTTTAGCATGTATCTGTCACTGAGCTCTAGGTGGTTGGTATGCATTATCTCATTTAAGCTGTATAACATCATTTTGAGCTACCTATTATTTCCCCATTTTCACAAGAGCAAACTTTGGCTTAGAAGAGTTATTGTAATTTGCCTAAGGCTGCATAATGCATAAATTGTTAATGTTTAAATTTGAATCCATTTCTTATGGCTTTTACCTAGACAGTAATATTGTGAGGTCACAGAGGTCAGTACCTCTGACGGGGCAGAGTCAGGGAATGTTAGTAGTATGGTGTGACTGGAGTGAAGTTAGCACTTAGTGGTATCATTTCTGGCTTGAGCAAATGGTTTTTTGATGTATTATTAACTGAGATGGAAAACATGAAGCAAAGCAGGTTTATTTAAGATGATGGGCAAGCTTGGTATACCTGTTGGACAACTGAATGAAACTATCTGGTAGTAAGGTGAGTATATAGATCTAGATTTCTGCAGAGTGATTTATACTGGAGATGTATTGGGTATCATTAGCTTAGAGGTGGTAATTTGAAGAGTGGGTTTTGAAAGTGGTAATCTGGAATATTCAGTACAGTGAGAAGATCAGAAGAGATATGAAATAATGAAACTTGTGGTTTATTGGAGAAAGAGCCTGAAAAGGAATCAAGGAAATGGTAGTCAAAGTGTTAGGTAGAAATATAGGAGATCATGTGTAACAGGCACCAAAGGAGGAGTTTTAAGAAAAATGGAGGGTCATTATCATTCTCTGGAGAACTAAAGAAAGATAAGATCAGAAGTGTTTATTTGATTTAATAGTATCTGATACAACAAGTAGTATCTTAAATAACAGATCCAGTGGAGTTATGAAGATTGGGTCGAGGAAGAAGAAAATGGAGACGGGTTATGAACTGTTGAAGAATTTTTGTTATGAAGAGAAAGGGTCATAGTATGGTACTAGCTAGTATGTGATTCAGAGTACCTTCATTCCCTCTCTCTGCTGTCCTCCTTCAACCTCTCCCTTTCATCTCTTTCTTTTTCTCTTTTCTTTCTTACTCGCTCCCACTCTTCCTGTTTTCTACCTACTTTCCCTCCTTTCTCCCTAACATGATACACTTGAACATTTAATGTTACAGGATGAGAATTTAACTTGGGACAGCATGACATCTTATCTTATGCCTATAAATATGAGTAACATAAATAAATATTAAAATAGGTGTTAGATCAGAATGAAACTGTTAATAGTTTCTTGAATACAGGATCACAGCCACATATATACCTTTAAACATACTTGCTCAATAAATTTTAATGATAATCTTTGAAATAATAAAATATCAACACTTTACTAAATGCTTTACATGTTTTCCACAATTTCAACCTTATCAGCAAAATCTCTGCCCATTTTATAGATGAGAAAACTGAAGCACAGAGAAGTTAAGTAACTTGTCCATTGTTCTATACCTGGTATGGCAGTGTGGTTCTAGAGTCTATGCTCTTAATCACAAGGCTGTATTCCTTCTCACTCCACTGTACTAGTTATTTTCATGCCTTTAAAAATTCATTAGTAATATTTTTGTTGTAAATTATGATACAGAATTAGAAGTGGGAATATTTTGACATTTTGAAGAACTCTCACTATTCTACTTGTATAGAATAGTGAAGATTAGAAAAAAAATAATTTCCGAAGTAGGGATACCAAGTACAAACATCAATTAAAATTTCACTTTTCTGTATTTGAGTTAAAGAATTGAAATGCTTGGCCAGGTGTGGTCGCTCACACCTGTAATCCTAGCACTTTGGGAGGCCGAGGCGGGCGGATCATGAGGTCAGGAGATCGAGACTATCCTGGCCAACATGGTGAAACCCCATCTCTACTAAAAATACAAAAATTAGCTGAGCGTGGTGGCGAGTGCCTGTAATCCCAGCTACTTGGGAGGCTGAGGCAGGAGAATTGCTTGAACCCAGGAGGTGGAAATTGCAGTGAGCCAAGATCACGCCATTGTACTCCAGCCTGGGTAACGGGGTGAGACTCCGTCTAAAAAAAAAAAAAAAAAAAAAAAAAAGAAAAAAAAAAAAAGAAAAAAAGAAATGCCTATGGGTGAAGCTAGACTATATTAATTATATAGTATGGCACATAATATGTCAAAAATGCAATATTGCTAAAAATGCAATATTGCTACATAATAAAAGTGTGTATAAGATAATTGAATTCTTAGAATATCAATCACAAATTGATGTATTTGTTATTTTGTTTATATCTAATGGCCTTATAAATGTCTTTCTTCAGGGAAACATGCAATTTTCATTGTGAGCTGCCTTCCAGAGTTTATGGTAGAACTTCACTGAAGTTGCTGATGCCAATGTGGAATAAAGGTCTTTATAGTTTAGAAAGTTAAAATGTATAAATGGGCTGCACCAAAAAGTGACTCACTTTCCTTAAATTTTAAAATACATAATACAAACTTATTTGAATTTTTAGAAAGAACACTGGAAAATCAAGTAATATATGTACGACATGTTTATCTTGCTTATATCCGTACTTTTGTCCTATGTCATACTTGATATTTGGATTCCCTTTCAGGACCTTTATATTTGAGCTCTAATCACAATCTATTTTTCTTAAAGCTAATTGAAAAAGAAAAGAAAAGTTATTATTTTTCTGTATGGACAATTCAGCAAACTTAAACTGACTTTATTTTAGCATGAAAAACCTTTTGTTTGTTACAAAAGAGACTTTAATGCAGATATTGTTGGATTAGTTGTTTCAAAGTAATTGTTCTTTCCCCTTACTTATTTTATTGTAATAAATATTAATTGGTTGACTTGCCTACCGAGTCATAAAGCCATTGAGTACATGGGTGCATCTGTATTGCTCACTGCTGTCTCTTCAGTCCCTAATGCCTGTGACTGGCACTGGTAGGTACTCTAGCGCTTTTTAAAAAAATTAAATGGATTTTTCTGAATGAAATGTATGAATATATAATATATATATATGAGTATTTTCTCTATGTTGGAAATGTACTCCTTATGGCACTGTGTTGGTATGTAAACACTAAGACTTTATAAAACTATTTTGTTTGCCTGGATCTTACATGGAAGTGTCATGTTAAATTAAAAACACTAGTTTTAGCTTTCACAGATTGGGCCCTGAGGAATAGTCATAGAATCCTGATTTTTCACTCTCATTGCTTTTACTTTCCTTACTTTTTTCTTTTCCTCTATTTCAGCTCTCTTTCTTCCTTTCAACCTGTTCCCTCTCTGTTTTCTCTTTAATAATCCTATCCTTTTTGTTGTTGTTGTTTTTCTTTAGTATCTGGAGTCCATCTTTCACCATCTTCTCCTGAGATTGTACTGGACCGTGACCACTCTTCTTCCATTGGCTGCCTCTCTTCTGATGCCATTATTTCATCACCAGAGAATACACATGCAGCAAATAGCATTGTGAGTCAAACTATTCCAAAAGCACAGGTAAAGACAAACATATTTTTAAAGGAGGTTTGCATATTTAAAAAATTGCCTGCTAATTTAATTGTTGCTTTTTTAATTTCTTTTTTAGCCTATTTGTCTAAAAGAAGTATTTCTGCAATAGATATTCTAATTTTGAGGCTAATACTTAGAATTCAAAAAAACTATATAATATGTTTGTGTCGTGGCACAATTGCAAAGTATTTAAGTAGCCTTAGTTACCAAAGTATGATTTGAGTATCTCATTTATTAAACTTTACTTGGCTTTGCATTTCAAATCTTGAACTTGAAAAGGGAAAATAATACAAAGAAGAATAAGTATTTCTCTTTTCAGCGAATCTTACCGCACATTTTCAGGTATTCAAGCAACTATTTCAATTTTAGAGTAAAAACCAAAAATATAGCAGT